>NC_000003.12:197480561-197631561 GCF_000001405.40 Homo sapiens | reverse complement strand
GTAGTGGTCCCCCAGGCCCAGCTGCCCTTTCTCTTATCTCTTTGTCTTGTGTCTTTATTTCTACAACACTCTCTCGTCGCCGCACACAGGGAGAGACCCACCGACCCTGTGGGGCTGGTCCCTGCAGGGTTATAGGCATGAGCCACCATGCCCGGCCTGCTTTTTTCTTTTTCAAAAGGCCTGTTTCTAGATTATACCTATTCATTCCGGTGACTATATGTGGGGCAAAGATGGGTTTGAATCCACCAGGATAAACGTGCCGGATCTCCTCTCTGATGGAAGAAGAGACAGGGATAGAAGGGTACAGAGAATCAGAGCCAAGAGGAGGCTGAGTCAGGCGGGGGTTGCAGGCTGCTGTGAGGACTTGGCTGCTTCTCTGAGACTGGTGGGATTAGCAGGGGATTTAAACAGAGGAACCGTGGGATCTCCCTTATGCATTTCTGCCATGGTTGGCTCAGCTGAACGCACCTCTTGAGCAAGACTTGGTCTTGGACACCCAGAGGCCCTTGGTTGAGGGTTTACCTCCTGGCGTGGCCACTGACACATCCACGTTTGGCTCCCACACGGCTGGGCGGCCCCGAGACCTGCTGTGCCTGCCCTTCTCATTGGTGGCATTTCTCAAGTTTGTCCCCTCTCAAGTCTGCCCCATCCGGAAAACCAAACACCTCTCTCTCCTACATGGAAACCCCCGTCAGCACCTCCTCCTGACTCACAGGGCATCCCGTCAACATCACAGTCCCAACCTTCCCACACGGACAAGCTCATGGGACCCCCTGATGGACCAGGACAGCGCCAGCACTAAGACGTGCCCTGGAACTCACAGGAAGAGCGGACCAAGAAGCCGGGAACAGCACGGGGCACTGGGAGCTGCAAACGCCCACGATACTGTGAGAGACGGAGAAAGGTATGACAGGTGGAGCGGACCAAGAAGACGGGAACAGCACGGCGCACTGGGAGCTGCAAATGCCCCCGATACCGTAAGAGATGGAGAAAGGTATGGCCATGGCGGTCACAAAATGTTACTCAACATTTATTAAAGGCCTAAATGGAGAACCTAACGCTATCAAACCCTTAGCTAAAAACACAGGGGAAAATTCGTATGGCCTGGGGTTAGGCGAAAAGTTCTTAGACATGACACCAAAAGCATGATTCATAAGATTGACAAATTAAATGTAGTCATAAATTTAAAATTATAATTCTATAAAGCAATATAAAAATCCAAAGAGAATGAAACACAAACTATGGTCTAGAAATAAACATTTGTGAATCACACATCTCACAACCTACTGGCACGCAGGATATATGAAGAACCATCAAAACTTAACCATAAGAAAGTAAAAACCCCAGTATTAAAGAGAGGGCCAATATTGGAACGGAGGCCTCATCAAAGAAGGTATAAGGAGGGCATATTGCCCGAGAAAGAGGCTCAACATCATAGAGATGCTGGAGAAATGCCAGTCAGCAGTACCTCTGCAAATCCATTAAAATGGCTAAAAACAGACAAAACCCATGGGCCAACCCAGGTTCTAGTGATGATGCAGAGGAACTGGGACCCTCATAAGCTGCAGTGGGAATGGGAGGGGTCCCGCCATGCTGGAAAGTGGTCCGGGAGTTTCTTACGAAGTTAAGCACATCCTTACCATGTCATCCAGCAACCCCACTGCTGAAATGTCCCCCAAGGGAAAACTTAAACGTGCACACACAAACCTGCACACAAGTGTTTAGGCCTCATTCCTCATTGCCAATAACTGGAAGAAAACAAAATGTCCGTCGGCAGGAGCAGGAGAAGGCGTGAACCAACGCGGATGCTTCCACATAGGGGACACCAACCAGCGGTGGAAAGATGCACCCAAATGCGCCAGGTCTCCCAGGCTACATGCCCGGTGAAGGAAGCTAGTTTCGGTGGCCACAGGCCGAAGGATGCCAACACATGACATCTTGGAGAAGACAGTGTACCGTGTCGGGGAGCAGGGCAGTGGTTTCGAGGGGCTACGGGTGGAGGGGCGAATGGAGGAGCTCTCTGGGGCGATGGCGTGAGCACCTGCACCTCACTGTGGGCTGCTGCGGCTGAGGGGCTGTACGGCAAACACTGGCTTCAGTACATGCAGACTGAAGGAGGAAGGCTCCCACAACTCAGAGACAGAGGGTGTCGCCTCCATGAAACAAAAACATATTTAAAAAAAAAACCTCTTAAAATTAAGAAAAAAACCACAAAAAGTATTTCATAAGCGCATTGACTTTGAGTTGACATAATCTACCTGGGAGCATGGAACTGAAACCACAGGCTTGGCAATCCCGGAGGGAGAGGGTGGAGGGTTTAGACCTCAATTGAAGGGCTCAGTACCTGGCTATAGGAAATAACATTTAAAAAGCAGCAAGTGGAAATAATTTCTGCTGATGAGGTTGCATCTCTCCAGATAGCCGGCAGAGTAAATTAAAGCAATATAGTCTTGCTCTGTTGCCCAGGCTGGAGTGAAGTGGTGCCCTCTCTGCTCACTGTAAGCTCGGCGGGAGAATGTCTTGATCCCTGGAGGCAGAGGTTGCGGTGAGCCGAGATCCCGCCATTCCACTCCAGCCTGGGCAACAAGAGCGAAACTCCGTCTCAAACCAAACAAAATTAGGTAACTAACCCAGGACTAAAACAGCGTAACTTTAAAAAAATAAGTCTAGGAGGTATGATGTTCATTCCCTGCAAGCCAATAAAGGCCACGTCTGGGGCATACATCTAAAAAAATAATCCTAAAGAGAAAGTTATGGTCACAAATATGTTCTGTACGGTGTTATTAAGAGCAAAAATGGGAAACAACCCAAATATCAATAAAATGGGACTGAACCCTTGCAAATTTATTAAAATAAAATTGTTAAACATGATGCACAAGACGAAGATTTTAATAAAGTGAAAAGACAGGAAACATACTTACTAATGATTATTGGTTTATTTTTCATGCCACTTCATTCCACAAAAAGATTTCAGGTATCTTACAAAAAGACACACTAGAAATATTAAAATACTATCTGAACCAGAAGCAGAATCAGGGTAAGCTAGCAGAAAGGCGTATAAGCCAAAGGGATCTACCCAGCTTTCAAAGCTGACCACGGCCGTGCGCAGTGGCTCTGTCTGTAATCCCCGCACTTCGGGAGACCCAGGAGGGAGGATCGCTTGAGGCCACAAGTTCGAGACCAGCCTGGGCAACAGAGCAAGATCCGGCCTCTACAAAAAATTTAAAAATCAGCCGCAAGCCAGAGACTAGGGACATGGCTGAGGATCGCTCCCGCCCCTCGGAGGCCAGAAACCGAGGGTCACTCCCGCTCTCTAGAGGCCCGAGGCCCCGGGCCGCTCCCGCCCACCTCCGCGGACGAGCGCCGCCCCTTCGACCCCATTCCCTGAGGTCTGGACGTTCAGGCCCTCTCGGTCTGGGAGATCCCGGAGAACCACCCACGGGGCTTTAAAAAATGTTGGTGCCAAACACCTCTCCGAAATAGGGCCCGCCCTATCTCGGTCGGGGAGCGCGGGACCTCCGTGGCCACCCAGCGCCACCGTCCGCGGGTCCGCTTTGCGCAGGCGCGGCGTCCCCGCCCCTTAGACCCCGGCCCGGGCGTGGCGTGGTGCGCAGGCGCAATGTCCCCCACTAGCGCCCCGCCTTGACCCGGCCGTGGTGCGCAGGCGCAGTCTGCGCAGGGACTGGCGGGACTGCGCGGAGGCGACTGCAGACGTATCGGGGGTCCGGAGCCTGTCGCGGCTGCTAAGCGCTCGGCGCCTGGCGCTGGCGCTGGCCAAGGCTGTGAGTCCCTGCCGCGGACCGGGGCAGGGCAGGCGGGGGACGAGGCGGCGGTAGGAGCGGGACGGTCCCCAGCGGGTCCGAGCGGAGCGGGCGCCGGGTCCCCGCGCCCCCTGCCCGGGGATCGGGAAGGGGCTGGGAGAGCCCTGGGCCGGTGCGAGGGGGAGCCGCGGAGTGTACTCGGGGGCCTGGGGAGCTCGGTCCTTAGCAGGTAGGCCGCGTCCCGGTGAAGGTCGCGACCCCGCGGGCTTGCTGGGCGTCCCCTCCGCCGCTTTGGTCCGGGCCTGGGGTCCGGCGACCTCGCGGGCTGAGGTAGCCCCTCGCCTCTGCCTGGCGGGTGGACTCGGGGAGGAGTCGTGTCTGCCCAAGGTCACCGGGGTGGAGTCCTGGCTGGGCCGGGCCTCTGCCGCCCTCTGTGAGGGTTGTCCTGCGGGGCCGCCCGCAGCCCGTGGGTGGGGCTGGCGGGGCGGGTGAAACCGCCCGGGTGGGTGCGAGGAGTGGCCGGGCTCGGCCGGGTGGGTGTCCGGTGGGAAGCGCGGCGCGCCCGAGCTTGGGCTTGCAGTTCCCCTTTCCAGAGAGCGCAAATCTGTGCATGTCCACTTCGGGATCTTGGAAGTTAAGGACCTGTACTTTGGGTCCTGTTTGGTGGCCCTTGTGCCACCAAAAATGTGCCGGTGTTTAAAAGCAGCTGTGCCAGTTTTTAAAAATCAGACGGAGAGCTCAGGGCACTGACCGAGCGAGGACTCCAGGACCTGTGCTTGCCTGTGCGCTGAGTACCTCGAGGGCCGGGCTCGGCTTAGTCCAGGATGATGGTCAGGGTTATACTTCCCTGAGCCCTTGCTCTCTGAGTGTCTGAGTGTGCCCTCTACGATTGCATCTTCAGAATCGGCCTTCTAGGATTTTATTTAATCAAGCGAAATTGGATAGGTTTAGTTGTTTGGTTCTTTTAAATGAACTTAGCCACCCACCTCTTAATTACAAAGTAATTTTAAATTGCAGAGTAAAAATCTCAATAGGAACCAAGGCATTCAGCAATATTGATTTGAATTATGCCTGTGATTGTGCAATTCTCTCCTTTTTGAAATAGTTATTGAAAATCTCTTTGAATTAAATGTGAGGATTAGTCATACAGCCATCCTGTCAACATCGGAAAGCGTGTAAACCGTTCTAGCGTGTTGCTGTGGTTGGTGCTGACTGAGCAGAGACCCCCGCCGCATCTTGGGCTCTTAGGAGCTGCTGGGAGGGCGTCCACAAGCAGGAGGTGAAGCCCATGGTCAGTGGGACTTTTTAGGGGCAGTGGTAGCTTGTGGTTGGAGAGAAGCTAGATAGAGCCAGTGCCTTTGTCCCCAACCCAGATGGTGCCCAGTGTTCCTTCTGCAGACTAAGGCCCCAGGCACCTCAGACCAGATGGCAAGATAGCAAAATGGAACCAAAATTTAGTCTTGGGTTTTGTAAAAGTCTTTTTATCTTGATGAAGGTAGCTTTTCCTACAGAAAGTCGTGCGTTTTTGGGTTCTTCGTTGGCTGCTTTTGTGATTGTGTAGGTTGTACATGCAGATTCGTTCTTGCTCATGATTTATAGGTGCATTTTATTCGATGAGGGACCCTTACTTTGCTAGATTTCGGATATGAATGTCTCTGCACTTGTTACTTTTCCCCCTCCACCTCCTGATTCAGTCATCTGAAATTCTGTATTGTTAAGCAAGGTCTAAGTATTCCTTTTAGTTATATGTTCCCCATTTTTTTTCTTAGAGGAAATGTTTGATAGTTTCTCCTAAAAAATTAATAATTGGCACAAAAGACTAGTTTTGTGTCAAAAGTAGTTTTGAGTTTTATCTAAAGACTGACATTGGCTTGAAGTTGGGCTTTCCAGATTCAAAAATCTGCCCCAGATGAGATTTAGATGCAGAGGGTTAGTGTCCTTTTCCCCAGGGGGATGGCGTGATGATTTGTTCAAGATTGTGTTATAGTAGCTGCCCCTTTTAAGCCAGCTGTGTGTGTGTGGTGGGGGGTGGGCAGTGTGTATTCCACATCAACATCCTAGAAAGAACGAATAAACATTTAGTGATCTCACTGTTTCTACTTACATTTGGTATAATGTACTGTTTTTATTGGTGCTATTACCTATGTTAATAGGGCACTTTACAAAATTTTCAAGAACGTTTTTATTAAAATTATTTCAAAGACTTCTTTCTTAAAATATGATTTTACCATGTAAAAAATTATACTAAGGTAGAAGAATATTCGTTTTCTCATTTTCTGAAAAAAGAAAAAACTAAATTAGCTTATGTCAATAAAAACAGACTAGAAATTGGAGAAATGAAGAATAATTTTTTATCCCACATAATAAGTAATTTGTGAATTGCCAGTATTTCTAAATACTTGAAGACATCCCTCACATCCCCTCTTCTGATTGCTGAGTGCATAATTTCCTAAAGCTTTTTTTTTCTTTTGTTTTTTGGAGACATTGTCTCGCTCTGTCACCCAGGCCGGAGTACAGTGGCACAGTCTCGGCTCACTGCAACCTCTGCCTCCTGGGTTCAAGCGATTCTCCTGCCTCAGCTTCCCAAGTAGCTGGGATTACAGGTGCCCGCCACCACGACCAGCTAATTTTTAGTAGAGAGGGGGTTTTGCCATGTTGGCCAGACTGGTCTCGAACTCCTGACTTCAGGTGATCTGCCCACCTTGGCCTCCCAAAATGCTGGGATTACAGGCATGAGCCACCGCGCCCAGCCCCTAAAACTATTCTTGATGATATTTCTGAGACTATTCAGTGGTCTTCTAAAATGCCGCCAGCAGAATGGAAAACGTATCCCCTAAATGGCTGGCCAACCTTAGCATATGGGACAGTGTGACCTCTCTCACACAGAGCCACTAAAAACTAAACACTAAAACCAGTTTTCTTGAGTAAAGGTTTCTAAGATGGAAAATTTAAGCAGCGAGATATGTCAAGTTGTAGACGTTGGCCGGGAAAAAGCCAGCAGCAACCAGGCAGGGGAGAGTGTGCATCCGACATCCTCCTGTGTGATGAAGGGATGACACCTCTTCCCTCTGGGCTGTCAGCCTTTACTGTTCCAGGATACAGATCTCCTGATTCAGGTGTCCAGTGCCTTTTGAACTGAACGCAAGCCCTCCTGGACGATTGGAACTGTAATGTGGAAAGGGCTCTGATGGAGCCAGTTAAAATGCTTCATTATTTGCAAAATACCACATACAGTAATACGATCTGGATGTCTTTCCCCTCCTCCACTAAGTAGCATAAGTGAAGACTTCCCAGAGGAAGTGCGCCTTTTTCATCTCGTATCTGAGTCAGTGAGTATCCTTTTTGGAAACAAGCTTCATCCTGGTTTTCTAGAGTGCCAAGTCAGGGTGGAAAGGAGGACCTGGGGGCTCAGTCCTTCCTTGCCCCTTGGGCTGCCCTTCAGGGTTAAGTAGAGGGTCCCAGCTGAGCTCTCTGGATGCACAGGAGCACCTGGGTACATAAGAAGGTGAACAGTTTGCAAGGGGAAGTTTGAATTACTATCCCCCGCAGCATTTGTTCCTTCAGGACACTAACCCTCTGGATCTGTGTCTTCTGTGTCTCCAGTGGCCAACAGTGTTGCAAACAGGAACCCGAGGTGTTCACTTCACTGTTGAAGGAACGAGAGGGCATCTGCTAAAGTTTCAGATTCCGTAAGTTCATGCTTTTTGTTCCATTATAAATGAATTTTTTGCCTTGGGGGTAAGGATCTATACCAGTTTGTTTTCATATGAGTCATAGACATAAGGGAAAAATTTCTCATAGGTATCCAATGCATGCTGAAATTATTTTCAGTGTAATAATACTTAATTGCAAGTACCAATATAAACATAGATGTTAACATTTTTACTTGTATCTGTTATGTATCTATAAATTAGATTTAAATTTAGGTCAAGTAAAGCAATAAATTAAAATGAACAGTATCTGCTGTGATAGATGATAAAATCCTACTGAAAAGAGGACCGTGGGGCCCTTCCGGTGTGGGTTCCTTGGTATTGAGTGTGCCTGTTCTCTCTCTGTTGGAAAACTGAAACGTGCTGAGAAGTTCTTTTCTCATAAGCTCACAATAGCGACTGAATGCTCCTTGGCACCTTCTCAGGCATAAGCATAGGCACGGCCCTGAAGTAGAGTTGTGGTCCTCAGTCTGATCCCATGGAATAGACCCTCTACCATTCATAGAATCTGATTATCAGTCCCTTCTCCAGGTGCGAATGTGCCTACTTCTCCCCGCACTGTTCAGGGCTCAGCCCCAGGACAGGATGGAGGCCCTGTGTGCCCAGCAGTTGCTCCTTTTATCTTTGTCAAGCTCTTTCACTGGCACAAGAGTCTTCATGTTTGGCATAGTGGAACCTGTGATTGACAGGTGAATTTTTCTTTTCCAGATTTCTGCTCAGTATCCAGTAGTGGATCATGAATTTGATGCAGTGGTGGTAGGCGCTGGAGGGGCAGGCTTTGCGAGCTGCATTTGGCCTTTCCGAGGCAGAGTTTGATACAGCATGTGTTACCAAGCTGTTTCCTACCAGGTCACACACTGTTGCAGCGCAGGTAAGAGAAAGGTGCCCCACTGTGCTCCCACTCCGTGCAGGTCCCGCGCAGCCTCGCACTTTCTACCTGGGCAGCCTCCTGCCTCCTCCCCGTGCTCCAGCCACTCGGCCTCTTGCTGTGCCTTACTCAGCTCACCCATTCAGGGGTCTCTCCCTGGAGCCTCTTCCCTGGGGACTTTGAAGGGCGGGAGCCTTGTTGTCACTCTTAATTCAGACTCCAGTCACACTTGGGTTTTCTCTGACCATCTACCCTCCCCACCCACCCCTGCCACCCCAACACCTTAAGAAAAGGAGATCATCTAAAGAGGAGGATTCAGAATTTAGGTTGGGGAAGAAAAGGGCAAGGGTTTCATTTGTCCCTGTGCTGCTGTCTTCTGGGACTCTCTGAGGGGTAAGACGGTGGTGGGCACACACAGCCAAAGGAAGTAGGGGTACAGGGGAGTGCGACTCTGAGTATGGAGTCTATTACTTGGCAGGAAGCACTTCTGATCTTTAACACATGCCCGTAAATGCCGTTGGGAAGATTTGTTAATACAATTATGTGGAGAGATTCATGGAGTACCTTTTCTGTGCCAGATACGTTAGGTAATAAGCATATTACAGGTAGCCTTTCACTCACTGCTCCAGTCAGCCCTTCCTGGAGTTCCCTCTGTCTCCACCACACAGATGAGGAGACTGAGGCTAAGGGATGGAATCACTGGGTGAGTCTGGGAGGGGTTGTGATCTGGAATCTGTCAGGCCTGGCTGCTCCTCTGCTGAGGTCAGCCCTCACTGGGAGTCACCATGTGAGTAGTTGGCTTTCTCTGAATCCCCCAGCGGGTGGATTTGGGCCTGGAAGACAAAGCTGGGGCTCCTGTTTGTGGCTTGTAAGGAGTGGTTGGTGTTTCCAGGTTGGAATCAATGCTGCTCTGGGGAACATGGAGGAGGACAACTGGAGGTGGCATTTCTATGACACCGTGAAGGGCTCCGACTGGCTGGGGGACCAGGATGCCATCCACTACGTGACGGAGCAGGCCCCCACTGCCATGGTCGAGGTGATGGGCGGGAGGCTCTGGGTGCTCTCGTGGTCTGTTTCTAGTACAAGAGTCCTGGAAAAAATGTAAGCAGTTGAGGCAGATGTGGCAGCCGAAAGAATGGTGATTAGCAAAGCTCACAAGAGAAGTCTTTGTCCGTCATGAACTATGTATTACATGTAATAAGAAAAACTTCTCTTTGATGAAGTGTTGACATTTTCATAAAATAGGTTACTTTGGGTTTGCAGATTTTTACTAAGGTTGTTTAGTGTAGATTAGCTGTGAATATCTTGACTCCTTTAAGGTAATAAGGCTTTTGTTTGTTTTTATCTTTCACAGCTAGAAAATTATGGCATGCCGTTTAGCAGAACTGAAGATGGGAAGATTTATCAGCGTGCATTTGGTGGACAGAGCCTCAAGTTTGGAAAGGGCAGGCAGGCCCATCGGTGCTGCTGTGTGGCTGATCGGACCGGCCACTCAATATTGCACACCTCATATGGGAGGGTAAGGCCGCCCTCCGTCCACCTGAGACAGGACACGTAGTGCTGGGGCTTATGGTGACAGCGGGGAATGGGTTAGCGTGCCCAGTGAGTCAGCCAGAGATTACGTAAAAAGCAACAGAGAACAGCGGTGTGGGGCACATGCAGTGACTGTGGAGGTGACAGGAGCAGACGTGTGCCTTGAGAAGCTGCCCCTAAGGCAATGTGTGAGTTATTGCCTCTATGTTGGAAAGTTGAATTGATAATCTTATATACCAGGTTTTCACTTGGGATATGTGACACTCAGCATGTAAGAACAGAGCAAGCAGGCCAGGCACAGTGGCCCACGTCTGTAATCCCAGCACTTTAGGAGGCCAAGGCAGGAGGATCACTTGAGACCAGAAGTTTGAGACCAGTCTGGAGAACATAGCGAGACCCTGTCTCTACAGAAAGTTTAAAAAGTAGCTGAGCATGGTGGTACATGCTTGTAATCCCAGTTACTCAGGAGGCTGAGGCAGGAGGATCACTTGAGACAGTGAGCCATGTTCATACCACTGCACTCCAGCCTGAGCAACAGGAGACCTGTCTCAAAAAAAGACAAAGAACAAGTATTTTAAGGCTCTTTTACCACCTCTGAGTTCCTGAATGGATTGGTTTGGTTTGTTTGTTTTGTTTTGCTTTGTTTTTGAGACGGAGTCTCACTCTCACCCAGGCTGGAGTGCAGTGGCGCGATCTCTGCTCACTGCAACCTCTGCCTCCCGGGTTCAAGCGATTCTCCTGCCTCAGCCTCCAGAGTAGCTGGGACTACAGGTGCACGCCGCCACGCCTTGCTGATTTTTTGTATTTTAGTAGAGACAGGGTTTCCCATGTTGCCCAGGCTGCTCCCGAACTCCTGAGCTCAGGCAGTCCACCCGTCTCGGCCTCCCAAAGTGCTGGGATTACAGGCGTGAGCCACCACACCCGGCCATGGATTGTTTTAATATTAACTGTTACCATTGGACAAAGACTTGAGGTGACAATAGTTACTGGGTAATCAGGGTCAACTTTGGCATGACCAAATAATATTCTGAACAGTATTGATTCAGAGTAATCCATGTTCTGAGCTTTGTTGTTTTCTGATGCATGGGGACGGATCAGTAATGTGCAGGTTGTTAGAACACCAGTGACTTCTCTGTGGCTGAGTGCATCGACAAGTGTGTGGTGGGAGGAGATGGCGGCTCTGTCCGGAGCAGGAGCTGTCATGTGGGGAGCTGGCCCAGGCTCACGAGAGCGACTTGTGCTGGCTGAGGGAACGGCAGGTCCAGGCGGGCAGCGCTGTCCGGCGCCTACCTTTCTGCGGTGCCGGAATCTGCTCGTCTGCAACCGTCCACTTTGGTAGCTGCCAGCCACATGGGGCTGTTGCTAATGTGGCAGGTGTAGCTGAAGAGCTGAACGCTTTGATTTATTTTAATTAATTAAGTGGTTATGTGTTGCCAGTAGCTCCCATCTGGGCTGTGACCCCATGGTCTGCGGACCTCACTCTGGCACCAGACTCCGAGTGGAGCTGCATGCGGCCACCGGACAGTGTGGAGTGCCTCTTCGGGTTGTGTAGAAGTAGGAAGTATGTCACCAACATAGGAGCTGTTGCTGCTGCGTTCTCTAGCACACCTGCCTTGTTTGTACTGCTGGGCGTGGAATGCCTCTCGGGCTCTGACAGTGTCATTGACACTGTTGCTGATCTCCTTGGATTTACCTGGTCCATTTGGATCAAGTTCTTTCACCTATTCACATGAGCAGATATCACCTTAAAACCTTAAAGGTTGGCTTAACACTTCTTGCCCTTTTTTTTTCTTTCTTTTAGTCTCTGAGATATGATACCAGCTGTTTTGTGGAGTATTTTGCCTTGGATCTCCTGATAGAGAACAGGGAGTGCCGTGGTGTCATTGCACTGTGCATAGAGGACGGGTCCATCCATCACATAAGAGCAAAGAACACTGTTGTTGCCACAGGGTAGGAATCTAATTTCTACTTTATTTCCTTTGTAAAAATGAATAAATTTCTTTTAGAGTGTCTTTATTTTAAGGAAAATAGAGGCATTGTAGAATAGCAGTTCAGACACAGGCCTTGATATAACCATGTGAGGGTGATGGCCTTTCCCAGCCGTGGTTCCTCACCTGTAAAGAGTGAGGACAGCAGCACCTGCCTCGGGGTGAGAAAGCATGGCCCTCAGTAGTCGGTAGTGGCTGCCGTCAGCTTCACAGCTTACCTCTCCCGATTTTAGATGAGGCACCTGCGGCCCAAAGAGTCACATGGGGTTTTCTGGCAAAATCTCTCTTGTTTTAGTGGGTTCTGTGTTTATACTGATTCCTGGGATAGATAAGTCTGTCTTCTCCGCATAATGAAAATGAAAAACTTTAATTTTATACAGTGGCAGTTACTTTAGTCACTTTAAAAGTTAAGAAGTGTCAGTACAGCCAAGAAAAAAAATCAGCAAAACTACAGGTTGGGAAAAAATATTTTCCAAACCATATATCTAATGATATCTTAGTATCTAAAATAGAAAAAAAAAAAAAAAAAAGCCCTACTAAAACCAACCTACTAAACCCTACTAAAAAACAACCCTGCTAAAAATGGGCAAAGGACTTGAATAGATATTTTTCCAGAGAAGACATACAAATGGCCAGTTGATGTATGAAAAAATGCTCAACATCACTAAGCACCAGAGAAATGCAAATTAAAACCCCAATGAGTATCATCTCATCTCGCTCCAGTTAGAATGGCTGTTACCAAGAGGACAAAAGATAGTGAGTGTTGGTGAGGATGTGGAGAAAAGGGAACCCTGTGTGCTGTTGGTGGGAATGTAAATTAGTACAACTATTGTGGAAAACTCTGGAGGTTCCTCAAAAGTCACAGGACTACCATGTGCTCCAGCAACCTCATTTCTGGGTGTATATCCAAAGGGCATGAAATCAGAAGCTCAAAGAGACACCTGGACCCCCATGTTCATTGCAGCGTTATTCACAATACCCGAGATATGGAAACAACCTAAAAATTTTTGGTGTTTAATGACAATGTGGTGTGTATACACAACTGAATATTATTCAGCTATGAAAACAAAGGAAATCCTGTCATGTGTGACAATGTGGATGAACCCAAAGTCATTATGTTAAGTGAAACGTCCCAGGCACAGAAAGACAGATACTGCATGTCACTCATATGTGGATCTAAAACTGTCACAACTCACAGAAACAGAATAGGACAGTGGTTGCCAGGGGCTGGGGGAATGCAGACTGTGGCGATGCTGATTAAAGGTGTAACTTCCCGTCACAAGGTGAAGTTCTGAAGGTCTGATAAACAGCATGGTGGCTAGAGTTAATGTTATACAGCATGGTGGCCAGAGTTAACATTATACAGCATGGTGGCTACAGTTAAAATCATACAGTACGGTGGCTCTCATTAATATAACTTGAAATTTGCGAAGAGAGTAGACCTTAGGTGTCTGTATCTCCAAAAAAAAAGGATAATTGTATGAGGTGATAGATGTGTATTAAGTTGATTGTGTCATCAGTTCACAAAATAAATCATCACGCTGTACACCTTAAATATATACAGTATTGTTTTTTGTTTAATTCATCAATCATACCTCAGTAAATCTGGGGGAAAAAAACAAAATCCATAAAAATTTTAAAATTTTCATTATAAAAGTAGTATATGCTTACTGGGGAAACCTTTTGAACAGCACAAATCTAAAATACAAATAGGGCCAGACGCATAGTGGCTCATGCCTGTAATCCCAGCACTTTGGGAGGCCGAAGTGGGTGGATCACCTGAGGTCAGGAGTTCAAGAGCAGCGTGGCCAACATGGCGAAACCCAGTCTCTACTAAAAATACAAAAATCAATTGGATGTGGTGGTGCACACCTGTAATCCCAGGTACTTGGGAGGCTGAGGCGGAAGATCTTTCTAGAGATTGGGCTTTGATGTAAAAAAAACTTACACACTAAATAATTGGTTAAAACAATGAATTTTCTTGAGGGACTTATTTACTCTTAATAAATTATAAGAGACTCTGATTTTTTTAATCCAAAGTTCAACTTTTATTGCATCTCACCATTTTTTATTTTCTCTCCTCTTTGAAAGGGTGCACAATAGTAATGCTCTCCCTCAACTCATTGTCAGCTCCTAAAAGTCTTTTTCCTCCAGTTCTGTTTCTTGTGACCTGATGCTAACAATATTCTCTTAAAGGCCTAAAGGAAATGTCGTCTTTCATCATCATATTCTGTGCAGTGCAGAAGGTCTTTTCTTTTGCCTTTTGGTAACTGGCCTAACAGATTTTATGGTTTACTGAAATAATTGCCATTATTATTAAATTTTGATTTACTTAAGAAAAAAACTGAGATTGAAAAAATTTTCTTAAATTAGGGTTAGTACATCCATGTATCTTTTTGTATGCGCTTTTCAAGTCCTTCCGACATAGAGTTACAGGGCTTTGACTCCTGGGTCTAAAAAGGGCACCAAGTCCTGCTAAATATTAAACACTGACAGTAATTAAAGCCTCATCTTCAGGCCCAGTAGAAAATCTTAAACACTGACAGCGATTCAAGCCTCATCCTCAGGCCCAGTAGAAGATGCCAATCAAAATGAACTGCATCCTGACACACAGAATTAAAGCTGTTCAACTCCTCAAGGCCCGGGGACTAGCATGGGCATGTGAGATTCTAAGGGCCAATTTTGAGAGAGAAAATAAGTTGAGTTTCTCTGTAAATTAATCACTAATGTCAAAGGCACACTGACACAAGACCAGCACATGGGCCCCTGTGTCAGATTAACAACATTTTCTTGAAGCATTAACTGACTCCTTAATAAAGGTTATAAAAGGCTTATGGAAGTTATACGTTATGGTTAAGATTAAAATTTTATAGCTTGTTTATAAAATTTTGAAAAACAAATTTAATTAGCTTCCTGCTGTTTTTTTAAATGAGGGTTTATTGTTTGAAAAATTAAGTCTCCTCTCCAAAACAATGAAAGCTTTTGCCTGTTTTTTGAAATCCTTCAGCTATCACTTTGGTCAAATGAGTGACTTATTTTACAATGACCTGTGATATCAAGTGTTTTAAACCTTTGATATCTGACAAACTTTCCAAAATCAAATTATAAATTATGTATTTTTCTGTCCTAATCATTTAAGATACTAGGTTCCCTAAAGTCCAAAAATGACATAATTTGGCTTATTTGGTATAAAAATTATACAGAAAGCATTGTCAAGTATGAAATTGTGTTTGGTTTTCTTTGGACTGTATTTGTATAAATATGTTATTGGTATGTGTTCTAAAATTATGGGAAACTCCTATAATTCTGATATGACTTACTGTACATTATCAGTAATAATGTTATGTTACATTATTTTGTGCCACAGAGGTAACAAATTTCCTTGTCAATTGTATCTTTGACTATGGCTGCCCTAAACTTTTTGTTATCCACAGACAATTGTCTTGTTTTGGTCCTCTTTAGAAGGTGGTTTTATAGCTGGGTGCGGTGGCTCATGCCTGTAATTTCAGCACTTTGGGAGGCTGAGGTGGGTGGATCATGAGGTCAAGAGTTCAAGACCAGCCTGGCCAAAATGGTGAAACCCTGTCTCTACTAAAACTACAAAAATTAGCAAGGCATGGTGGCAGGTGCCTGTAATCCCAGGTACTCAGGAGGCTGAGGCAGGAGAATCACTTGAACCAGGGTGGCAGAGGTGGCAGTGCACTGAGATCATACCACTGCACTCCAGCCTGTGTGACAGAGTGAGACTCCATCTCAAAAAAATAAAAAGAAAGAAAGTGGTTTTATAATCAGCTATAAAACTTTAAAAGGTGCTCTTGAATGCAGGTTTCTGGTAACTTTGGAGATTGTGACATCAGAATAGAGGAAAAACTTTCGGGACTCATGGAGAGCTGAAATGTTCATGAATATCAAGCAGAACAGGAATGAACTACATGGACTGAACTTATAGAAGACTAAAGTAATCTTTTTGACTTTTTGCTTAAAACGTTGTTGATCCTTTGTTTTGTTTTTTTCAGAGTCAAGAAACTTTTCTTTTGAGCTATTGACAGCTTTTAACAAGTTATTATACTCCTATGAACAAAATTTGGAGCATATTTGTTTCTCTCTGCCTGATTTCTCCTGAATTTGGAAACTATTTGTGAGTATTCTTAACTTATCGTAATATAGTTATTTGCATAAGTGCAATAATAATCTGTTTTTATTTGTAACAGGACACAATTGAAGAAACTGGTTATTCTACCATGGCTTTGACTGGAATGGTGTGCTTTCCTTTAAGGAATTAAACTTGTTTTATGAAGCCAGTAAAAGCCCCTTGGGAAAGCTGGCCAAATACCCTGTCTACACAGTCCCTGAACAGGGTTCCTGATCTGTGGTAAATAAAGAATGTCACTTTCTGACAGGCCCAGGAGCCCCAAGTTTTACCTCGGGACCTCAAAAGGAGAGGAATTCATGCAACTCATAGGTATTTGATGGTACAAATCCATGGCAGGGCTCAGCTTTAAACAAGTCTTTTCTGAGATTCCTTCTATGGAATAAAGTTCCATCAAAGTCAATTTAAAAGCCTGTGTAAAAAAATAATTATTCTTGCTGCACTGTATACAAATAATCAGGCCAAGTATAATAAAGGAAATCAGTCGTACCATGATTTGTCTTTAGTAAAAATGAGAAACTGGAGAGAGAAAAACTATGTTTTAAAAACTATAGTACACCTGTTGTTAGATTCTAGTCTTGCCCAATGTTTTTCAATTTTTATTATTTTCTACAGTTTGGACCAAATTCTAGTTTTTCTTGGCTACAAGTCTTCAATATAACGTTTTCAATTTTTTCCCTTTCTTTTTTCTATTTTTCCTAATTTGGAGTCACTGAAAGCTAAGCTGTGCTTTGTGAAGCCCTGTGAACTGAAGCTAGACAACTTAAACTTCAGAAGAAAATAACAGCAACCTGTTTACATATATAAGCTACTTTCATACCTGCCTACTGATGTATGGACTTCAGAGTAGTGTGGCCTATATCGATTTTCTAGGATCATTATTTTGTTTGTTGTTTTTCTCCCTTCCTCCACCTATTTTCTCTTCATAGGACATGAGGATTCTCAACCTGATAAAAATGAGCTTTCCTAATAACTCAAGACCCATCTGCCTAGGAATAAACCATCCCAGCTGTGAGAGACCAGACGAAACCTGAGACCAGAGACTCGTTTTCTTCTAAAATGCTTTCTCCAAAAGATTTTTAAACAGAAAAAGGGGGAAATGTGAAAGGAAAAGAAAACTTGAGGCCCCCAAAATCACTAAGCTAAAAGGAAAAGTCAAGCTGGGAATGGCTTAGGGCAAACCTGCCTCCCATTCTATGCAAAGTCATCCCTCCGTGCACTGAGATAAATGCTTATCTAATTGCCTCCTTTGGAGAGGCTCATCAGAAACTCAAAATAATGCAACCATTTGACTCTCACCTACCTGTGACCTGGAAGATCCCTCTCTGCTTGAGTTGTCCTGCTTTTCTGGATGGAACCAATGTTCATCTTACATATATTGATTGATGTCTCATGTCTCCCTAAAATGTATAAAACCAAGCTGTGCCCTGACCACCTTGGGCACATGTCGTCAGGACCTCCTGAGGCTGTGCCACAGGCATGCAGCCTCAACCTTGGCAAAATAAACTTTCTAAATTGACTGAGACCAGTCTCAGATATTCAGGGTTCACAGTATCCAAAAATCCAATCACATCTGAAACCGCCTTTGCAAAAATTATCACAGTGAGAAAATAATGGCAGTGAAAGAAAGCTGATCTAGCCAACCTCCCTCTTGCCTTTAGCTTTCAAGCTGCTTTTACTTATTCCTGGGTTTAAGCCAAGCTACATGTGGGAGTCATTTAGTTGATAGTTTAAATTATAATAACCCTTCCCCGAAACTCAACCACCCTTGTAATACTGAGAGACCACCAGGCTAGGAGGAGGAGAGGAGCCTAAATTCTGCTAAGGTGTAGACAAAAACAATTGTGAGGCGTTATTCCAGAAGCCACAAGATATGCAACTTCCTCAGTTACCCCTGCAGATAATGTTACTTTTGTAGAACCTAGGATTGGCCTTCTGAGATATCTTCTCAGGATTTTGCATGTCTGATGACCGATGGCTCCACCGGGACCAGCCAACGGCTTCTGTGTCCCCACCCAGAAGCGACTCAGAGAAAGAGGACAGCTTCGACACCCTATGATTTCATCTCTGACCCAACCAATCAGCACTCCCCATACCCTAGCCTGCTACCTACCAAATTACCTTTGAAAAATCCCTAACCTCCAAGCCTTAGATGAGTTTGATTTGAGTAATAACTCTGCCTCCCACATGGTGTGGCTGGCATCATGTCAATTAACCTCTTTCTTTACTGCAGTGCCATGGTCTCCATGAACTGATTTTTTTGTGCAGTGGGCAGGAAGAACCCATCGGGCAGCTACACATCTTGAAAGAGAAGCTCTTCCTGTGAGGTACATCAACTGTGGTTAAGAATCTTACATACTTATCATTTTTTGTTGTTGTGAGAACATTTAAAATCTACCCTTTTCTTTCTTTTTTTTTTTTTTTTTTTTGAAATGGCGTCTCACTCTGTTGCCCAGGCTGGAGTGCAATGGCATGATCTTGGCTCACCACAACCTGCTGGGTTCAAGTGATTCTGTTGCCTCAGCCTCCTGAGTAGCTGGGATTACAGGCATGCACCACTCTTTTAGCAATTTTATTTATTTATTTTGTTATTTTGAAAAAGTATTTTTAACTTTTACTTTAGATTAATGGGGTATATGTGCAGGCTTGCTATATGGGTATATTGTGTGATGCTGAGGTTTGGGGTATGAATGATCCTGTCAGCCAGATCGTGAGCATCGTACACAAGCAATTTTAAAATATACAAATGGTGTGGTATGGTGGTACATGCCTGTAGTCCCAGCTACTCAAGAGGATGGGGCCAGAGGATCGCTTGAGCCTAGGTGTTTGACACCAGCCTAGACAACATTGTGAGACTCTGTCTCAAAAATAATAAATAACAAAACAAAATAAAATATACAATGCATTATTATTTAATACAGTCATTATTCTATGCAATAAATCACTAAAGCTTATTTTTCCTGTCTAACTGAAACTTTGTACTCTTTGATGAACTTCTCCGCTTTCCCCATCCACCCCACTTCCCTGGATTTTATTAAATTAAATTGTATTATATTGAATTTACCAGAATTAATCACTACATTAGAAGAAACTCCAGTGGGTATTCCTAAAATCATGGAGAAGTAGATAGATTTAAAAGCAAAAGAAATGCTGCAATTTCTTCAGAGTTCATAAGAGAACTTCTATTGGAGAAATGGAAAATTTGAGCTGGCTAAGCCTTGAGACCTCCCAAGACTAAGTTATAGGAGTTTAGCCTTCTAAACTACCTCAGGGTACAGCCTGGTCTTAATTTTTAATTTTAAATTTATTTTTATTTTTAATTTATTTTTATTTTTATTTTTGAGACAGAGTCTCATTCTGTCGCCTAGGCCAGAGTTTAGTGGTGCACAATCTCGGCTCACTGCAACCTCCGCCTCCCAGGTTCAAGCATTTCTCTTGCCTCAGCTTCCCGAGTAGCTGGGATTACAGGCATGTGCCACTATGCCCGGCTAACTTGTATTTTTAGTGGAGATGGCGTTTCACCATGTTGGCCAGGCTGGTCTTGAAGTCCTGACCTCAGGTCATCTGCCCACCTTGGCCTCCCAAAGTGCTAGGATTACAGGCGCGAGCCACTGTGCCCAGCCTATTTTTTATTTTTATGGGTACCTATTAGATGTATATATTAATGGGGTACATAAGATATTTTGATAGAGACATACAATGTGTAACAATCATGTCAGGGTAAATGGAGTATCCGTCAGCTCAAGCACTGATGCTTTCTTCATGTTTCAAACAATCCAGTTATACTCTTTTAGTTATTTTTAAATGTATAATAAATTGTAGTCACTCCATTGTCCTATCAAATATTAGATTTTATTAATTCTATCTAACTATATTTTTGTACCCATTAACCATCGCTCATTTTCTCCACCCCCAACTACCCTTTCCAGACTCTGGTAGCCATCATTCTACTCTATCTCCACGGGCTCAATTGTTTTGAGTTTTAGATCCCACAAATAAACGAGAACATGTGAAGCTTGTCTTTCTGTGCCTGGCTTATTTCATGTAACATAATTTCCTCCAGTTCCATCCATGTTGTTGCAAATGATTCATTCTTTTTCATGGCTCAGTAGTACTTCATTGTGTATATGTACCATATTTTCTGTATCCATTCATCTGTTGATGGACACTTAGGTTGCTTCCAAATCCTGGCTATTGTGAACAGAGCTGCAACAAACATGGGAGTGCAAATATACCTTTGCCATACAATTTCCTTTCTTCTGGGCATATACCTAGCAGTGGGATTTCTGGATCATATGGTAGTTTAGCTTTTTTGAGGAAACTGTTATGCATAGTGGTTGTGCTAATTTATATTCCCACCAACAGTGTATGAGGATTTCCTTTTCTCCACATCCTCGCCGGTGTTTATTATTGCCTATCTTTTGGATATAAGCCATTTTAACCGGGGTGAGATGGTATCTTCTTGCAGTTTTGGTTTGCATTTCTCTGATGATCAATGATGTTGCGCACCTTTTCATATGTATGTTTGCCATTTTATATCTTCTTTTGAGAAATGTCTATTTGGATCTTTTGCCCATTTTTAAATTGGATTATTAGAATTTTTCTTGTCGAGTTGTTTGAGATCCTTATATATTCTGGTTATTTATACCTTGTCAGATGGGCAGTTTGCAAATATTTTCTCCCATTCTGTGGGCTGTCTCTTCACTTTGTTGAAGCTTTTTAAATTTGATGTGATTCCATTTGTCCATTTTTACTTTGGTTGCCTATGCTTATGGGGTATTACTCAAGAAATAACTGCCCAGTCCAATGTCCTGGAGAGTTCCTCCAATGTTTTCTTTTAGTGGTTTCATAGTTTGAGATCTTAGATTTAAGTCTTTTTTTTTTTTTTTTTTTTTTTGAGACGGAATCTCACTCTGTTGCCCAGGCTGGAGTGTGATGGTATGATCTCAGCTCACTGCAACTTCTGCCTCCCAGATTCAAGCAATTCTTCTGCCTTAGCTTCCCAAATAGCTGGGATTATGGGGTGCCCCACCATGCACAGCTAATTTTTGTATTTTTGGTAGAGACGGGTTTCACCATGTTGGCCAGGCTGGTCTCAAACTCTTGACCTCAGGTGATCCACCTGCCTCAGCCTCCCAAAGTGAGATCTAAGTCTTTAATCCATTTTTTTTATGGCAAGAGGTAGGGTTCTAGCTTTATTCTTCTGCATATGGATATCCAGTTGTCCCAGCTCCATTTATTAACGAGACTGTCCTTTCCCCGGTGTATGTGTTTGACACTTTTGTAGAAAATGAGTTCATTATAGATGTATGGATTTATTTCTATGTTCTCTATTCTGTTCCATTGGTCTATGTGTCTGTTTTTATGCCAATACCAAGCTGTTTTGATTACTATAGCTCTGTAGTATAGTTTGAGGTCAGCTAATGTGGTTCCTCCAGTTTCATTCTTTTTGCTTAGGATAGCTTTGGCTATTCTTGGTCTTTTGTGGTTCCACATAAATTTTAGTTGTTGTTTTTTTTTCTATTTCTGTGAAGAATGTCATTGGTGTTTGATAGGGATTGCATTGGATCATCAGATTTCTTTGGGTAGTATGGGCATTTTAACAATATTGATGCCTTCATGAACATGGAATATCTTGCCATTTGTGTGTGTGTGTGTGTGTGTGTGTGTGTGTGTGTGTGGTCTTCAAATTTTTTCATCAAAGTTTTATAGTTTTAATTATAGAGATCTTTCATTTCTTTGATAAAATGTATAATAAAGGTATACACATTTTGGTTAATAAACTTAACCAAAGAAATGCAAGATCTCTATAATTAGTTAACTAATAATTAATTAAATGGTTAATGAACTTAACCAAAGTAATAAAAGATTAAATAGAATCCTAAGTAGCTATTGTAAATGGGATGACTTTTTAAATTTCTTTTTCAGATTGTTTGCTGTTGGCATATACAAATGCTAGAGATTTTTGTATGTTGATTTTGTATCCTGCAACTTTGCTGAAATTTGTTTACCAGTTCTAATAGTTCTTTGGTGGAGTCTTCAGCTTTTTCCAAATATAAGATCATATCATCTGCAAACAAAGATAATTTGACTTCTTCCATTCTAACTTGGATTCCGTTTACTTCCTTCTCTTGTCTTGATTGCTCTGGGTAGGACTTCCAGTACTATGTTGAATAACAGTGATGAAAATGGGCATCCTTAGCTGGGCATGGTGCTCATGCCTGTAATCCCAGCACTTTGGGAGGCCGAGGCGGGTGGATCACCTGAGGTCAGAAGTTCAAGAACAGCCTGGCCAACATGGTGAAACCACTTCTCTACTAAAAATTAAAAAATTAGCCAGGTGTGGTGGTGGGCGCCTGCAATCTCAGCTACTCGGGAGTCTGAGGCAGGAGAATCACTTGAACTCGGGAGGCAGAAGTTGCAGTGAGCCGAGCTTGCGCCACTGCACTCCAGCCTGGGTGACAGGGCAACACTCCATCTTAAAAAAAAAAAAAAAAGATAGGAGTAGGGTAAAGGCATGGGATACAGGATGGACCCTGAGAGGATAATATGCTGGAGGTGCTCAGGGCAAACAACTCAGATGTGTGTGGGAGTGTGCATGCGAGGGTTTTTACGCATATGGTATAGTCTTTTTCCTGCCCAGAAGACCTACATACTAGTCTAGCCCATCCTGGGGGAAGTGAGAGATGTGATGGCTCTGCATTTTCTCTGGCTTTGCCCTGGAACCTGGGATGAATCCACTCCGACTGGATGTGAGTACCAGGTATTACCTGAGAACGTGATTTGAAACTGCTCCCTAGATAGGGCCCATTCCTTAGTCAGGGGTTCCTAGTGGCTGTGGAATAATTCACATTTGTCATTAGACTGTAAGGACCATCACTTTATTGCTTTTGTGTCCCTTCATTGTGCCGAGCCATGCACCATGCATCCAGCAGGGAATCCTGTGAGTGCCTTTTCACAAAAGCTTCCAGCTGCACGAGGTCGGCCCTTAGCGCTTTTAAAGGTAGGCAACTGACATGTCCACTCAGGACACAGACCCCAGCAAGGTGCTAGCAGGTCTTCTCAGGGCTCTCGTGATGGTTCCAGGCCCAGTCATTGGTCGGGGATCCAGAGGAGACACGCTCCTCACTTTTGGAATTCTACACTTTAGAGGAAGAACCCAAACGAAAAGCTAGGAGACAAGCCAGTGGGGTGAGGAACAGATTAAAGCCACTTGCTTCTCAAATGAGGACATTGTTTTCAAGACAGGGATGACCACTGTGTTTTGGAAATCCAAGTTCTCCTTTTACTGTTTTGCTCTCAGGGAAATTTCAGCAAATAAGATCCCAGTGTTGTTCATCAACTTCTCCAGGTTTGCTTTAAGCTCCTTTAGCTAGCTGCCCGCATGCTGATTGAAAGGTTACGAAGAAAACACAGGAAGAGAAATCCAGGCTACAATTGTTATTTGCAAGTTAGTGACTGGTCCTGGAACCTGACACTCCCTTCATGGGTCAGCATGCCCAGAGTTTTTGTGGTTCATTTACCCCAGAAGGACTTAGTACCAAACATTTCACAGATTTCCGTTATAAAGGTCTTTACAAACACAGACCCATGCAAAAGGCCCAACTATCACCTTCAACAACAATGCAATGGCCTTCCATGGCCTTACAGTAGGGCCAAGTCAGCAAGGACCTAAACAGCCTCCAGTGTGACTTTGTCACAGTTCGCGCACCTGGTTGTTAATGGCCTTCACCTGACATAAAGCAAATTGCCTGTCACGGATCATCTGAGCAAAAGAAGTCAAGGAAATTCAAGTAAAAGGAGGAAAAATGTATGCATATGTAAATGCTTACTCCAAAGTCACCTCATCTAAAGCTCTTGCTCAGAAAGCAAGTCAGAATCTTCACTCCTGTGTAGCATTACCGAATGGAAAACACGCTAAGAGTCATCAATAAAGTCAGCCCCGTGTAGCCTTCCCACTGGAGAAATGACAACCTGAGGTCCTGCCTCCAGCGCTAGGATGTACCTGTGATGTGGCTTCTACCTTGGACTCTGTCCACGGCCTGGAACAACCTGGACTCACCAGTGTGCACCATAGCAGGAGCCCAAGCAGGCTTAGCTCAAAGCTCCATGTTTATTGCATGAAGCCCTTAAAAAGTATTTGTTATCGGAAGGCTTTGCCCAGAGCTTTGGAGAAGATTACAAAGGAATGCTTTCTTCCTTCAGCTTATTTCTTAGGAAATTACCTCCAGATCTACCCAAGAAACAAAGGCTGCAGGATCTCCTTGGTGTCTTCATACATTGAACACTTATTTAGAAATCCCTCATGACTTTTTCCACTCCCATTTCTTGAGGAGAAAACAGAAGATCTGAGAAAGGGAGAATGGGAGATGGCCTGCCCTGGTCTCTTGGCTGCCCTAATGGAAAGGCTCCAAGTTGCAGCTTTAGAAACAAGGGCTGGCACTATGAGCAGGCTATAACTTCTTGCTTACACCTTCTCTCTTCACATCGGGTGCCGCCTGTCAGGTGAGGGCCACAGTCCTTCATTCCAGGTGTTTTTGCCTTCAGCCTTGCTTTACTACCATGTTTTTCTCCTTTTCTGTCTTCCATCTGTCCTTCCATAAATCCATTCATTATTCATCCATCCATCCGTCCTTTGAGACATCCATCCTTCAAGCCACCGTTTGACCCCTTCATCCCAAATTAATGACTTACTATATGCCAAACTGTGTGCTAGAAACTGACTCTACAGATGAGCTAGAACAGTTCTTGCCCTCAATCTTGGAAGAACAACTCATTGGTAGCAGCTCCACTGTTTATTGGCAGAAGGGAGGATTGTGTCCAGGGCCGCAGTATGCAGTGGGGCAGTTCAGGCACTGCACAAAAAGGCCCTGCAGAGCCAGCGAATGGGCCTGAAATGCAAGCTCTGTGTCCTGACCTGGAGATGGGTCTTTCCAGAAGAAGGGACAGCAGGAGGTGCCCTGTGAGTTACCAAACGTAGTTCATTTTGTAGCAAAACCTGGACACCTGTGCAAAGATCAAACTAGATCAGAAGGAAAGGAGACAATATTGCTGTGAAAATCTAGCTGGAACTCAGCAAACATTCAGGATGGAAATGCACACTTGCAAAGCAGTTTCTAGAACTTTGTGTGACAAGAACACTAGGAATTCTTCAAGGGATATCTAGCCATACATATGGCCTCCGAAGAATTCACCCCTAGAGGGTGTTCATAGTGATCACTTAACTTGTGCAGGTGGCCTGTAGTGGTGTAAGCATGGACATTTAAGCATGACACCTAAAGTATTTTATAGAAATGTTGAAGGAATTAGAGAAAGTTTATATCATTTTTTAATTGGTTTATTACTGACAGCATTTTGATAGGGTATTATTAGAACTCAGGTCTTGTGACTCAAAATCAATGCCTTCCCAGTATACCACTGACTCCCCATAGCTGGAAAACCCCATGGGGGCTCTCTGTTTGCCCTTATATCAGGCTGAAAGACATATTATCAACAAAAGTTTATGACATTAAAACCACGGACCCACTGATCATTCAGAAGCATTTTGTTTAATTTCCATGTGTTTTTATTTTTTGCAAAATTCCTCATTATTGATTTCTAGTTTTAAGACTTATTTTGTGACTTAACATATGGTCTATCCTTCAGAATGACTCGTGCTGAGGAAAGGAATGTGTATTGGAGTACACGGGATTTTTAGGGCAATGAAAATATTTGGTATGACACTGTATGGTGGATACATGGCATTACGCACTTGTGAGTATCCACAGAACTGTACAACATAAAGAGTGAACTCTAGGCCGGGCGCAGTGGCTCACGCCTGTAATCCCAGCACTTTTGGAGGCCAAGGCGAGTGGATCACCTGAGGTCAGGAGTTTGAGACCAGCCTGGCCAACATGGCAAAACCCTGTCTCTACTAAAAATACAAAAATTAGCTGGTCATGGTGGCAGGTGCCTGTAATCCTAACTACTTGGGAGGCTGAGGCAGGAGAATCACTTGAACCCGGGAGGTGAAGTTTGCAGTGAGCCAATATCACGCCACTGCACTCCAGCCTGGGTGACAGAGCGAGACTCTGTCTCAATAATAATAATAATGTGACCAGAATGAGAGTTTTGAAAAGTAGCACCAGAAGGTTGTGTGATTCAAGGATACTGAAAGTGGCCTGGAACAAGGACCTGTTCTCAAGAGAAGAATGTTCCAAGGAAATAAGTTCTGGGAACAATGTCAGGTTACCATGCTGACCTCATGTATGTGATCATGTATTTGAATTAATCGCTTCACCATCAAATAATCCTCCTATCCTAATAGATCTTGGAAGAAAATAAAAAATTCAGTCAACTTTAATAGCAGAAGGAAAGAAAGAAAAAAAAGTCACCCTAGATTCTGTGTCCCCCAAATTCAACTCATTTTCTGGGTTCCCCATATATCATTTTACCCAATTAAGCTTATAGCATATAGCTATATTATTATATTCTACTTTTGCTTACCTAAAAATGATTTAACATTCTCTATTGAGAGCCATGATATTGAAGAATTTTAAAATTTAGCAATATAGGCCAGGCATGGTGGCTCACGTCTGTAATCCCAGCACTTTGGGAGGCCGAGGTGGGCCTCCTCAGTAGGCCCTCAGGTAGGAGGATTCCTACCTCCTCAGGGGTAGGCATCACCTGAGGTCAGGAATTCCAGACCAGCCTGGTCAGCAAGGTGAAACCCCGTCTCTACTAAAAATACAAAAATTAGCCAGGTGTGGTGGCACACGCCTGTAGTCCCAGCTACTTGGGAGACTGAGGCAGGAGAATCGCTTGAATCTGGGAGGCAGAGGTTGCAGTGAGCTAAGATTGCGCCACTGCGCTCCAGCCAGGGTGACAGAGGGAGACTCTATCTCAAAAACAAACAAACAAAAAAACTCAAAAAACAAAGTACATACAGCAGTTTCTTTCAAAAACGTTTTGTGCCTGTCATGTCCATCCTCACTCCCACCACTTTCCCTGAAAATATCTCCCACCTACCTACATCTTAAATAAGAAATCATTTTTATTGAGTGCTTTCCAGCAACATCTCATCTCATTGTCACAATCACCTTGTGACAAACGTCGTTTTCACAACTCTCATTTAGCTGATGAGAAAGCAAAGCCTCAGACTTTCACTTTCCCAAAGTCCACCAGCCCGTAGGTGTGGCATTTTTTACATCGAACCTCACTGTTCTGTGGTCCGGGCGATGCGGTCACTGCCCGTCTGAGAGAGGGCACGCAGGTACTTAGCCACGGTACACGTGGCTTCCGCAGTGCCTTTCCTGGGAGCAGGTTTTGAAAGCAATGAGGGCCCGGGATGATAGAAGGGGAAGCTTCACACAGCAAGAAAAGGGCTCTGAGATGCCAGGCCAGGGCTGGGGAAGGCAAGCTGGGCACTGAGTGTGTGACCTTTCAGGTGGCATCACTCTTGAGTGCTGACCCGGCTCTTGCACAATGCTGCCCATAAGAAGCCAGGTCGCAAAGGTAAAGTTTAAACTCCCTTTTCCAGGTGCAGTCCTGAGAAAGGGGTTACTTTTTTGTTGTGTTCATTTTGGTGTAGAATGGATTTAGCAGCGTGGAGATGCCCTTTGAGCACATTCTGCTTGGCGCTGGTGACTGAGTGGTCCGGAAAGGGTCCTGAAGAAGAAGCTTTTTTTTTTTCTGGGTGGGGGGTGGTGGATGCATATTGAGGTGCAGCAAGCGTGGTGGAGAGAAAGACAGGAAAAGGCCAAGGGCAGTGTGGTCAGGCCCAGCTGGCGCGGGGCAGAGAGTGAACTGCTTGAGGAGGAGCATCGCCCCACCTCTGATGATGTGTTGGCCGGCAGGGAACGCAGAACGCTCTGGCACCTTCAACAGACTTGCCCCTTGGGGAGCTCTGGAGACAGCCACAGCAGCGCCCCTGGAGACCCCCGGCTGAAGGGACAGCAGCGAGAGGCCTCCCCACAAGGAGCCTGACAGCGGCTGGACTGAAGACTGTGAGGGAGCTGAGCCACAGTGCATCCAAGCTGCTCCAGGTAGTCCCAGAAACAAGTGGAGGTGGTGGGAGATGCCACGTGGCTGGGCTGAGATCCTGAGTCAGCAGGCAGGTGCAGGGAGACAGAAAATTAAAATGTGACTTTTATGTTGATGTAACCTTCTTTAGAGCCACAGGCTGGGGCTTAGGCACATTTGGTAATAGAAGACATCGCGCTTCCATCCACAAGCAAGGAAAATACACAAAAATACACAAAACTCTCAGGAATATCTTCTATTATTATCTCACACATGAAAAAAGATCTTCGGAGGTTTTAGAAAGTTATCTGAGAGTCCCTCTCCCTCTCCCGCTCCCTCTCCCCACGGTCTCCCTCTCCCTCTCTTTCCATGGTCTCCCTCTGATGCCGAGCCGAAGCTGGACTGTACTGCTGCCATCTCTGCTCACTGCAACCTCCCTGCCTGATTCTCCTGCCTCAGCCTGCCGAGTGCCTGCGATTGCAGGCGTGCGCCGCCACGCCTGACTGGTTTTCGTATTTTTTTTGGTGGAGACGGGGTTTCGCTGTGTTGGCCGGGCTGGTTTCCAGCTCCTAACCGCGAGTGATCTGCCAGCCTCGGCCTCCCGAGGTGCCGGGATTGCAGACGGAGTCTCGTTCACTCAGTGCTCAATGGTGCCCAGGCTGGAGTGCGGTGGCGTGATCTCGGCTCGCTACAACCTCCACCTCCCAGCCGCCTACCTTGGCCGCCCAAAGTGCCGAGATTGCAGCCTCTGCCCGGCCGCCACCCCGTCTGGGAAGTGAGGAGCGTCTCTGCCTGGCCGCCCATCGTCTGGGATGTGAGGAGCCCCTCTGCCCGGCTGCCCAGTCTGGAAAGTGAGGAGCGTCTCTGCCTGGCCACCATCTCATCTAGGAAGTGAGGAGCGTCTCTGCCCGGCCGCCCATCGTCTGAGATGTGCGGAGCGCCTCTGCCCCGCCGCCCCGTCTGGGATGTGAGGAGCGCCTCTTCCCAGCCGCGACCCCGTCTGGGAGGTGAGGAGCGTCTCTGCCCAGCCACCCCATCTGAGAAGTGAGGAGACCCTCCGCCCGGCAGCCACCCCGTCTGGCAAGTGAGGAGCGTCTCCGCCCGGCAGCCACCCCGTCCGGGAGGGAGGTGGGGGTCAGCCCCCTGCCCGGCCAGCCGCCCCGTCCGGGAGGGAGGTGGGGGGTCAGCCCCCCGCCCGGCCAGCCGCCCCGTCCGGAAGGTGAGGGGCGCCTCTGCCTGGCTGCCCCTACTGGGAAGTGAGGAGCCCCTCTGCCCGGCCACCACCCCGTCTGGGAGGTGTACTCAACAGCTCATTGAGAACGGGCCATGATGACAATGGCGGTTTTGTGGAATAGAAATGGGGGAAAGGTGGGGAAAAGATTGAAAAATCGGATGGTTGCCGTGTCTGTGTAGAAAGAGGTAGACATGGGAGACTTTTCATTTTGTTCTGTACTAAGAAAAATTCTTCTGCCTTGGGATCCTGTTGATCTGTGACCTTACCCCCAACCCTGTGCTCTCTGAAACATGTGCTGTGTCCACTCAGGGTTAAATGGATTAAGGGCGGGGCAAGATGTGCTTTGTTAAACAGATGCTTGAAGGCAGCATGCTCGTTAAGAGTCATCACCAATCCCTAATCTCAAGTACCCAGGGACACAAACACTGCGGAAGGCCGCAGGGTCCTCTGCCTAGGAAAATCAGAGACCTTTGTTCACTTGTTTGTCTGCTGACCTTCCCTCCACTATTGTCCTGTGACCCTGCCAAATCCCCCTCTGCGAGAAACACCCAAGAATGATCAATAAAAAAAATAAATAATTAAAAAAAAAAAAAGATCTTCAAGGTCAAGAGGAATCGAACATGAATAACAGACTGTTCTCATGGCTTCACTCCCTTCTGGCAGCATCCAGCTTCTCAAGGGCAGTGAAACACCCAGGAAGGCACTGGCTTGGGAAAACCATTCCTTCCTGAGAAGAAACAAAGAAGAAATACGATCACGCGTACTTTTGGGTAGATACTCAGTACTGCTATGAAAGGTCCTTTTTTCCGGAGTTATTTAAAAAAAAAACAAACAGATGCCTTTTAAGGGTTATTATGTTTCAAAATGTCAACTTGTTAGAGCTAAGGATCCTCCCTGTGTTCCAGAAAAACACGCTTCTCCCAAGAGAGGTGGCCTTGGCTTAATTCCATTCAGCAGTGAGGTTAATTTGGACAATTTGATGGATGAGTAGTTACTAAGCACCCACCGTACCCCGTGAGTCCAGGTTTGTGGGCAATGCTAGGATGAATCAGCCATGGCGCCTGTCCGTGAGAGGCTCTCCTCTAGCTGAAGAGAGAGTGACTTTAGTTCTGTGATGGCACAGACCTAGTACCATAGTGTCTGGATGACTCAGCTCCCGATGACGCTCGGCTTGAAGGGTCTGTTGAGGGAGGACCTCCAGATCACTTTGCATCTGGGAAATGGGTTAGTTACCCTATTTCCTCCCAGTGGGAAGAGGAGGGGCTGCACTCTGCCAGGTACCCTGGGCTTCATGTGGGAGCAACTGCTATCTCTTCCCCTGCTGACGACACAAAGGGCTGTGCTTCGCTTTGGACATGTCGCGCGCTCGTGTGTAACCAGCTGGCTGAGACCCACCATCGGGCCTGGAGGAAGAAAAGCGCAGGGTGCTGCAGGGGAGCAGTTGGCGTCTTTTCTCCACTCCACAGGCCAGGGTCGGAGGGCTCATGGTGGGTGATAGTGCAACCTGCCTCGGCATCTGAGGGATCGCACATGGGGCTCAGAGGCAATGCTCACTTCTCCTGGTTGTTGTTTTTTGTTTGTTTTGACACCCTTGCCTCATTTAAAACTTTTCAGGTGGGGCACGCTGGCTCATACCTGTAACCCCAGCACTTTGGGAGGACAAGGCTGGCAGATTGCTTGAGCTCAGGAGTTCGAGACCAGCCTGGGCAACATGGCAAAACCATATCCTACAAAAATACAAAAATTAGCTGTGGCACACTCCTGTGGTCCCAGCTACTCCCGGGAGGCGGAGGCTGCAGTAAGCCAAGATCACACCACTGTACTCCAGCCTGGGCGACAGGGAAACCCTGTCTCAGAACAACAACAACAAAACTTTTCAGCTCAGGCAGTTTTCTTTTCAACCCCTGCATTTTTTGTTTGTTTGTTTGTTTTTTGCGGAGGAAGGCAAGTATTGTTCCTGTACAAAACAGGCTGCCGGGTGCCGTATGGGAGCGCCGCCTCCAGGTGAGCCATCCTGGGTTCCAGTCCAGCCTCTATTCACTTCAGGTGGGTGTTTTACCTCTAAACCTCAGCATTGCCATCTGCACATAGAACCAGCCTTTCTGGTTTCCAGCTGAAAATAGGTTATGACTAGAAAAGTAAAGAATGTTGAATTGGGCCGGGCGCGGTGGCTCACGCCTGTAATCCCAGCACTTTGGGAGGCCAAGGCGGGCAGATCACCTTAGGTCAGAAGATCCAGACCATCCTAGCTAACACGGTGAAACCCCGTCTCTACTAAAAATACAAAAAATTAGCCGGGCCTGGTGGCGGGCGCCTGTGATCCCAGTTACTCAGGAGGCTGAGGCAGGAGAATGACGTGAACACGGGAGGTGGAGCTTGCAGTGAGCCGAGATCGCACCACCGCACTCCAGCCTGGGAGACAGAGCGAGACTCCGTCTCAAAAAAAAACAAAAAAAAATAGTGTAGAATTGCCTTTTGGAAGTACCCTCCCTTCCTTTTTACACAGACAGCCGGGGCTTGGTGAGGAAAGCTTGCCCAGGAACCCAAGGGAGCGAGAACAACAGACAAGCCAGGCAGCCCCGGCTACGATGGCTCTTACCGGGCACCTGAGCCTTCTTTAGACAGGGTCTCTATTTGCAGAGAATGAGCGGCCAATTACGAATGAATGTGCTTGCCTCTGCATGCATAGCCCCTCACAGTTTACACACACATTAGTCACTCTGCAGGCTGCACAGGCTTCTGTCGCTCCCAGATGTTCATCGCTCCTGGAAACGATTCGGTCTTTCCCAGCCCAGCGCCAGGCAGCTCCTCAGATCCCAAGGCACTTGGCTTCCCCTGGAGCACAGCGTTCTCTCCACGGGGATGGCTGGGCAGGAGAAAGGACTCTGAAGATGGGCCTGTCCCTGCCTCCAGCCCAGCTCTGCTTCCCCTCAGCAACCTTGGGCCTCCGTTGGGGCTGGGTGGGCTCAGCCTCCTCCTCTGCCTTAGAGCAGTGCCTTCCCACGTGGGGCGAGGTCCCCCCGGAGTTGTCATCTGTGATCAGGGCATTTTAAGCAGAAGCTGGAGCTCTCCCTTTGGTGGACTCTTGTCCGATGCTGGAGAAGGGCGACCTCTAGTGTTGGTTCATAGAAGCGGCATAGCGGCTTCTTCCTGCCTCTGAGCCCTGCTGGGACCTGTCTGCAGAGGAGAGGGTCCCGCAGCTAAACTGGCTGTGCCAGGAGAAAGGTGGGGAGGTCAGTACTGTCCTCGGCATGGGGAAAAGCATAGCAGGATGTGAGCAGGCAAACGCTGGGGTGGCATGCTCTGTGAGGGAGCCGACTGCATGGTGACTGACTTTCAGGGTCTCATCATCTTCATCAGCACCACCCCATTTTTTTGAGATGGACAATCACATTTGTTCCAGTCTTCAGTAAAGTGCCTTACAATTCCGGATTAAAGTCCCCCTGACCTTCCCTTCTAAACAGATTTGCCCAACCTAAGCCCCTCCTATAAAGAATTGAACAGCTGGTCGGGCGCGGTGGCTCAGGCCTGTAATCCCAGCACTTTGGGAGGCCAAGGCGGTGGATCATGAGGTCAGGCGTTCAAGACCAGCCTGGCCAACATGGTGAAATCCCATCTGTACTAAATATACAAAGATTAACTGGGTGTGGTAGCTCGCTCCTGTAGTCCCAGCTGCTCAGGAGGCTGAGGCACGAGAATCGCTTGAACCTGGGAGGCGGAGGCTGCAGTAAGCCGAGATCGTGCTATTGCACTCCAGCCTGGGAGAGAGAGTGAGGCTCTGAGCTGCGACTGGCCACAAGACACGATGTCCACAGTACTGAGGAGGCACAGGCTTTGGGAAATAAAGTGGGATAGGGCTGCATGATGGGAGAGGGCTCACCCATTCCCTTCCCACACCCACAAATACGTTCAGAACCTTTGTTGTTGTTTCCTGTGGCTTATCATCTATCTCTACTCTGTGTTATTCTGCTGAGTTTGATGAGACCCAGAACTGCTGCACCAACCAGGTCTAATCGACCGCTATTTGTATATAATTTTTGGCAAACCTGTTTCCAACTACAGGTAGGGTGCCTACCCATCTCGGTTTGCCTGGGACAGTCCTGGCTTATATCTATCACCTGGCACATTTATGAATAGTTTTCTCCCTCTGAAAAGACTCCCATTTCGATGATAAATTACACAATCCCCCTATTCACAGATAGTCTCCCTAAGAAAACTTAGGCATTAGGATTTAGAAGATATGGGAGATAATGCCAGGACTTTGAGATTTAAATGGTTATTATAATCTTGGCATAATTAGCTCCAAGCTTCCTGGCAGTTAAACAAAAGAAAAACATGAAGTGTTAGAAAGTTGATTCTGCCTTATAAAATGACGCATATTACATCTTCTGGAGGGACATATTTATCAGGCACTAACTTTCAGGAGGATTTTTTCATGTAAACTGTTATATAAGGAACACTAAGTAACATAAGGGACTAGGTCCTCCGTGGGGTTTTTGCAGAAGCTTTTATGTGGCCATCTTCTTTATCTTGATGCTCAAAAATGACTGTGCTTTTCCAATTCTCTTTCTCTGTGAAAAGTGGGGAGGCAATAAAAATGATTTCACAGGGATTAACTGAGCTCTTATGGCTCAAAGGCCAAATAAACGATAAACATCAAAACATTATCATTTTCATGCATACCATCTTGTCCAAACCTCTTCCTTTAGTGATAAGAAAGCCAAGGTTCAGAGAGGGAGGAGTGACATGGTTAATCAGTGGCAAAACTGACTGGCCTTAAGAGTCCTGTTTCATTCCGAATGCTAACACAACTTCAAATTGCTGTCACCAAGACACTGTTGAAATTCCGTCAGGCCACCAGTGTGGGGTGGGAAGAGGATACAGAAAAAAAATCCAGAAGCCTGAGTTTTGAACCATAGTGGGCATGGTGGCCCAGATGCAGAGGCTAGAAATTGTTTCCAGTCATCGTCATTAAAAAAAAGTTATTAACGCCAGGCATGGTGCCTCACGCCTGTAATCCCAGCACTTTGGGAGGCCGAGGCAGGCGGATCACCTGAGGTCAGGAGTTTGAGACCAGCGTGGCCAACATGGTGAAACCCCGTCTCTACTACAATTACAAAAAATTAGCTGGGTGTGGTGGCGGGCACCTGTAATCCCAGCTACTTGGGAGGCTGAGGCAGGAGAATCGCTTGAACCCGGGAGGCAGAAGTTGCAGTGAGCGAAGATTGTGCCACTGCACTCCAGCCTAGGCAACAAGAGTGCAACTCCTTCCCAAAAAATAAATAAATAAATAAAATAAATGTTATTAACATGTTTTAGCAAAATAAAATCTTGTGGTGTTTGCTTGGTTGAAAGAATAAGGTATATATATATTTGCAAGTTAAAAAAAGGCAAAGAAAAAAAGGAAAGAAAGAAAAGAAAAGAAGAGGCTGTTCCCAGTCTGGTTTCACGCAGCCTGAGGGCCTCGTTCCAGCAGTGGATTTTCCAGCATTATCGCACGACCTTCTTTTCTGCTTCTTCTCTCCTGGCCAGTGCGTCTCAAAGTGTGGTTCCCAGACCAGCAGCATCACCAGCACCCAGAAACTTTTTAGATATGCAAATTCTCAGGTCCCACTGCAGACCCACTGAATCAGAAACTGGGAGTGATTTTGTTGCACATGGAGGTTTGAGAACCCCTGTTCCAGGCTGTTCTTAGGGTCCTGCTTGGCTTCAGAGAGAAGAGAAGCAAACTCCTGGCACTTCTCCCTGTTGCGGCCCATCCCCTCACGCCAGCCCCTGCCCCTGCCCCTGCCCCTGCCAGGCTGTCCTTTCTAAACTCCTATTACCACTGCTTTTTTACCTGTGGCCATTTGCACCTGGACTTCATTAAAAAGTGAAGTAGCATGACTTTTGTTTAATGGTTTGCCTAGCCAATACCACTTCTGGATAATAAAAACTGCCTTTACCAAGCACTTCATATGTGGCAGGTTCAAAAGCACTTTACCATTGCAATCTGATGGCCCAATTTAGTTTTGTTTTAAAGAAAAAACAGCTATCTCTTCTGCCTCTGATGTCTGTCGCTGATTTCCAATTAGAATAAACTAAAAAAATCCCATTTCTTTTTTTTTTAAGGACAATTAGGTCTCTAGGAAGTCCAGAATGTAGAATTCTGTAGAAAATACTCAGATCAACTGCAATTTCCTTCTACAAAGAGGTTTTCACATTTCCAGATGGGTCTCAGCAGAAATAGTTTGTCTGAGCCCGATAGAATACTGATTCACTTTTCAAAGAATTTTGAAAAATTTTTACGAGTTTTACTTGCTCACCCTACCATTGCAACAGACCAGCGTTGTGGGCACAGAGTTGTCAATGGGGAAAAGAACCCTTGATTCTCCCCTGTGAGGGCTTTTCTTTGGCTAGATATAGACTCTAAAGGAAATGAATGGAATTCTGGCTGTGTGCCCCTCACACTGCCCTCTTCTGCTGCTGTCTTTCTTCCACGAGGGAACTTTCGGGACTACTCAAAGTGCTCTCCCTCAAGCTTTATTTTGTATGCAACTTGCTGCCAGGAGAGTTGGAATTCATTCTACTCACATCACAGGGAGGAAGTGGAAGGAGTTCCTGCACCGGTAGACAGGAGGGCACAGCGGGAAGAGCTCACTTCACTCCCCAAATGGGTCAGTCGTGCATCCGAGCTCTGGAGCAAGCTGTTGCGGCCCATAGGGAGGGAGAATAGGAGGGAGAGTGACAGATGGAGACAAGAGAGCGTCAGGAACAGAAGTGGTCTACCTCCAAAACAGTGCTGGAGCTGCACTTTAGAATCACCTGGGGAGGTGTAAGATTTCTGACGACCAGGCCAAACCCTGGACCCATTAAATGAGAATCTCTGGGAGTGGCACCCAAGCATTAGCTTTTTTTTTTTTTTTTTTGAGACGGAGTCTCGCTCTGTTGCCAGGCTGGAGTACAGTGGTGTGATCTCAGCTCACTGCAACCTCCACCTCCCAGGTTCAAGCGATTCTCCTGCCTCAACCTCCCAAGTAGCTGGGATTACAGGCGCCCGCCACCACGCCCGGCTAATTTTTTGTATTTTTAGTAGAGACAGGGTTTCACCGAGTTGGCCAGGATGGTCTCGAACTCCTGACCTCATGATCCGCCCTCCTCGACCTCCCAAAGTGCTGGGATTACAGGTGTGAGCCACCGCGCCCGGTCTGGATTAGCATTTTTGACAGTTCCCTGGCGGTTCTAACTTGCAGCCAGGGCTGAGAACCATCATTCACTTTCTCCAGCAGCTGTTGTTTTCCTGCCTTCTCTCTGGATAACCGGGCATTAGGGGATAGGCCCCTTCTCATTTGTCCTAGTTTGTGTTTTCTTTACTCTTTTGACCTTTGAGGACCATGATATAGAGTCAGGGGCATCTTACGCTAAGTGAAAATTTAATCTGAACTTCTTTTGCTCCGGATCCCTTCTTTCCCCTCGGGTCCTGTATCTTTATCAAACACTGATTTGGAATCCCTGAAGAAATCATTGGTTTTATTATTCAATACTGAGATACAGAGATAGACCTATCATTTAGATTTGAATTCCCTGGTCATCTGTTTCCGCATGATGAATAAACGGGCCTGTGAATAAGACGATGCTCCAGACAGTAAGGAAAGAAAATCAGTCTCAACAGTAGAACAGACTTTAAATGTTGTACTGGACAAATGCAGCGACCCCTTTCAAACCTATGTCACCAGGGCCCTTCTACACAGCTGTTTTAAAGTTTGTCAGCCTATGGCATAAGATCGACCTTTCTCTCTCCTGCTGGATATGGTGTGATATTGTCTCTAGCTGAGTGCTATAGGGTGCCTCCTCTCTTGCTGACTACGAAGCCATTCTTGGAAGGTGTCTGGGGTTGAACTTGTGTAAAAGCAAGCCTGGGGCCAGGTGCAGTAGCTCGTGCCTGTGATCCCAGCACTTTGGGAGGCCGGTGGGTGGATCACCTGAGGTCAGGAGTTCAAGACCAGCCTGGCCAACATGATGAAACCCCGTCTCTACTAAAAATACAAAAAAAAAAAAAAAAAATTAGTTGGGCGTGGTGGTGTGTGCCTGTAGTCCCAGCTACTTGGAAGGCTGAGGCCGGAGAATCACTCAAACCTGGGAGGTGGAGGTTCCAGTGAGCTGAGATCGCGCCACTGCACTCCAGCCTGGGTGAAAAGAGCAAAACTCCATCTCAAAAACAACAACAACAACGATAACAGCAAAAAAAGCAAGCCCTGCTGTCGTGCCAGACCCCTGTTGACTGCAGTAGCGTTGGTAGTGTGTTCGAGACGCCAAAGAAGAGGCTGGGGGCCAGTGACTGAGACACAGGGCTTCCTGAGGGGACTTACATACAGGGCAGTCCAGTGGCAGCAGGCTGGACCAGAGAATGGCAACCACTCGTAAAAAGCATGCAGTTTATATAGCATTTTCACCTAGCACCCTCCCCCTAGCAACCTCCACCTGGCAACCTTCCTTTAACCCAAAACAAAGGGCCTGGATCCCCTCTATGGCCTCCATTCCACAGGATGGGCGGGGGGTTCAGATGCCCCTCGCAGATAAGGAATGAGTCTCCAGGTTGGCCCCATTTCCCGATTCCTTAGCTCAGAACTCCAAACACATTCTTTTTAGGCCTAGGGTCATTCTCAGGGTATGCTTAAGTTATTGCTGTCAGGTGCATCCTCCATACACCTGTGATTTGTTTGTTTGTTTGTTTTGTTTGAGACAGAGTCTCGCTCTGCCACCCAGGCTGGAGTGCAGTGGCACCATCTCGGCTCACTGCAACCTCTGCCTCCTGGGTTCAAGCGATTCTCCTGCCTCAGCCTCCCCCAAGTAGCTGGGATTACAGGCGCCTGCCACCACTCCCGGCTAATTTTTGTATTTTTAGTAGAGACAGGGTTTCACCATGTTGGCCAGGCTGGTCTCAAACTCCTGACCTCAGGTCATCCACCCACCTTGGCCTCTCAAAGTGCTGGGATCACAGGTGTGAGCCACCATGCCTGGCCTGTGATTTTGAAATCTTAAGGCACCTGGTGTGGTGGTCACCAGCTTCTGCCTAATGAGCAATCCCACCTCCGTGCGGAGACACAGCTCTCCTAAATCAAGTCTTTCTTAACAATTCTGAGCCCAGTTCCTCTTCCCCTCGCCCCTGTTCGTGGCAGGATCTGGAGTATTACGGACCACGAGAGATGCAGAAATGGAGCACAGGCGGTGAGCCAAGGACACCCGAGGTACGAGCTCTTGCCCTTCTCCTTCCCTGCCCTCTGCTGCCTGGAGATACGGCAGCCCAGCACCAGCCCCCCAGCTGCTTCCAGTGGAAAAATGCTGTGTCATTTCAGGGAGGGATTATAGTTTGAACTTGTATTGATTAAGTCTTTATGTGACGCTTCCAAATCCTTGTGTTTTTCCATAGACGTTGAGTTTTCCGTTTTCATCCCTAGCTAGATGGACTCACTATGAGCACCCCCCACTTCCAGGGCCAGGATGAGAGCCTCCCCCCTTCTTACAACATGTGAAATCATGAAGACCTCTGCCTTGGCCCAATTTCCCTAGAAAACAGAGCCTGAGGCAAAGCTTGTGTGCTTCTGGGCAGCGGGGCTGAGTTCCAGGAAAGTAAGAGTAAAGGACGAAAGGAAGTGAGTTCCAGGAAAGTAAGAGTAAAGGACGAAAGGAAGTGAGTTCCAGGAAAGTAAGAGTAAAGGACGAAGGAAGTGAGGAGGCAGCGCACGCACGAGGTGGGAGGTTAGCAAGCAGGCCGTGGCTTCCTCAGCACACGCCGCTGGTTGCTCACTCCTGGGGGCTTGATCAAGGAGCCTGGGCCTAGCAGAGTTCCCTTGGGGTGCTTTCTCAGGATGCCGAATTTAATACCCTGGTAAGGACCCCAGGTGATGAGACAAACTCAAGGGTGACTCTTAGAAGCCCGGAGAAAGTGGCAGCCAGTGTCAATGGCGGCAACGGACATGACTAAGTAGCCCTGGAAGATGGTAGTGAAAACACAAAAAGCCTGAGGAAAGTGGGCACGCTGGGATGGCTATGTCATCTGAGACCAGAAGAGCCACCGGGGGTGGGGGTAAGTATGAGGGGTGGGCCCAGAGAACAGGTGATTGACCACGACCATCAGGAATGCTCAGGTGAGAGGCACCAACCTCACTAAACAGGAGAGCTGGTCACAGAGCTGGGCTCACTGCTACCCATGGCAATGAAGCCCCTCTACCCCCAGGCATAGAGGCCAGGTGGTGGCCTTTGGCTTCCAGATGCCAGGAGGTCATAATGACCTGCAGAGTTAGTCATGCAGCCAACCAGGCCCGGCCCACAGGGAGTTGTGGTCCACAGAGCACAGCATCTCCCGGGGCAGAATAAATGGGCAACCTACACAGGTGCTGCCTAACGCCTCCAGCCAGCAAGAGGCACAAGTGGAGACGCAGGAGGCTCAGAGCCCTAATACAAACTTACAGTCCCTTACTCAGTTGTTTTGACCTAAGCCAATTTTCCGATCTGGAATCCATGGACTGAAGAGGTGGCTGGGTCTCTAAGAATGAACTCGGCAACACCGGCAAGAAAAGAGTGTAATGATTCCCCCAGTCTTTCCCTAGGGGGACCCGTGGCCGTGTACTTGGGTGACCGTACACGGAAGAAAAAGGAATCCCCAGATGTCCGGAGGGCTACTTGATGTAGTGACTGAGTTGAAACTGATACCTGGAGACCCAAAGCACCATTGTTGTCTCCTTGTTAGACTGAGGGGCTATGGAGGTCAGTCCATCAATGAAATCCTGCCTAAAGTCTGACACACGAGTGGCAGAATGGCCTGGAAGAGGCCGTCGTCAGCAAAGAGGACATTTACTCCAGGAGATAAAGCATTCAGGGCCGGGTGTGGTGGCTCATGCCTGTAATCCCAGCACTCTGGGAGGCTGAGGCGGGCGGATCACAACGTTGGGAGTTTGAGACCAGCCCGGCCAATATGGTGAAACTCCATCTCTACTAAAAACACAAAAATTAGCCAGGCGTGGTGGCTCACACCTGTAATCCCAGCTACTCCGGAGGCTGAGGCAGGAGAATCCCTTGAACCTGGGAGGGGGAGGTTGCAGTGAGCCGAGATTGTGCCATTGCACTCCAGCCTGGGCTGCAGAGTGAGACTCTGTCTCAAAAACAAACAAATAAACAAACAAACAAAAAACTTTCCCCACCTGAGATGGCTGCAGGGGAGCATAACAGTTCTGTTAGAGCAGGAAGGGGAGGGGGAATAGAATTTTTATTGTATTTTATTAGACATCTTCATTTTCTAAATTTTCTGAGATAAGTTCTCAAAATTAGTGTGAACCAGTCATCAGGAGCTCCTCATCTGGTGTGTTTTCCTGGATGTACAGTGCACATCCTGCAAAAGGATGCCCCCTTCAGAGAGGTGAGGTTCAAACTCCAGGGAATCAGCCCAAGAGCAGTTACCTCTTTGCAGAGGTGTGGAAAGTGGCAGGAGAAGAGACAGGCCCTGATGGCAATTCAGCAAACATCACCCATGTGCCAGGCACTGTGCCAAGCACCGGGATACAGAGATTAATCCAGCTGGTCTTTGAAGTCCAGAAGCCCCCAGACCAATAATCCATAACTAGCCATGGAGGACTTCTCACTAGGGAAGAGGCCACCTCTGCAGGCCTCTCTCAGAACTGGGGATGTGGGTGTTTACTCACTGCTGGGAAGGGCTGACCTTTGAGTTGTTTTCCTAGTCACAGAAAGTCCTCTGATCCACCACCTGCATGGGTGAGATTCGGCTGGGTCAGGGCAGAGCTCCTCCCTGAGCCTGCAGGGCGCTGGGCCTGCCATGTGTAACCCAGCAGAGCGGCTTCTCACCCACTGCCCAGGCTGGCAGCCTTCTAGGGAAATCTGTGAAGAAAACACATTTAGGGGTGTGACATATTTTCTCCTGGTTTCTGTAGGGTTCCTGCTACCTTGGAAACAAAGACAGAGAACTAACTGGCAGCCACTGGCTGAACAAAATTCCATGGGCCTGGAAAGGCAACTCTGATTGTGGTTGGGTAGCCCAGTGCCTGGCGCAACGCCTGCACAGTGAGACGCTTCTGGTTGCTGGTGTTGATGGAGGCTAGAGGCTGTTACAAGATGTGTCTGAGAAATTTCAGTGTATTTTTCGGTTATTGTTTTTCTTTTGAAGTACCAAATGCTCTGACAAATTTGAACAGACAGAAGTATGAGGTAAAAACTGCCCCATGTATCCCTTCTCTTAGTAACTCCCTTGTAATTCCTTCTAGAAAATTTCTTAGCAAATGTAAGCATAAACTTATATATATATTTATATATATATATATATTTATATATATATATATATTTTTTTATATATATATATATATATTTTTATATATATATATATTTTTATATATATATATACAGCTATAGATAGATATAGATATGTAGATGTACACACATACAGTTGGTCGTAGTATACATCAGATCCTTAATTAGCTTTTCTCAAAAATATCTATTAAAGATCTTTCACACACTCCTGTCACTCAAGAGACCGTCCCGCCTCAACCTCTCGAGTAGCTGGAACTACAGGCACGCGCTACCGCGCCCAGCTATTTTGTTTTTTGTAGAGGCACGGTCTCTCTGTTAGCCGGGCTGGTCTCAAACTCCTAGGCTCAAGCAATCCTCCCACCTCGGCCTCCCAAAGTGCGGGGATTACAGGCGTGCACTGCACCTGGCCTGTTTGCCTGATTTATAGTTTTCCTATATGTAATTGTATGATACAGGGGTACACATTTGTACTGTTGCTTTAACCCTGCAAATGTTAGGGGTGGGTCACTTCTAAGTTTCCAGTCTCTGTCAACCTGCTGGTGAAAAATGGTATATGTAACTTTGTGTATTTTAAAAAATTAATACAGTTCAACACCTTTATATATGTTTCTTAGCCGTTTGCATTTTTTCTTGTGCACTACCTGTTTATATCGTTTGCTCATTTCTTTCTTTTTAACATTTATTTATATTTATTTATTTATTTATTTTTGAGATGGAGTCTTGCACTGTCGCCCAGGCTGGAGTGCAGTGGCATGATCTTGGCTCATTGCAACCTCCGCCTCCTGGGTTGATGTGATTCTCCTGCCTCAGCCTCTCAAGTAGCTGGGATTACAGGCGCCCACCACTACACCCAGCTGATTTTTTTTGTATTTTTAGTAGAGACAGGGTTTCACTATGTTGACCAGGCTGAACTTGAATTCCTGACCTCGTGATCCACCTGCCTCGGCCTCCCAAAGTGCTGGGATTACAGGTGTGAGCCACCACGCTCAGCCCAACATTTTTTTTATCTTTGTATATTAAGTGGTCTTTGTGTATTAAGTTAATTAGCTCTTTGTCATATGTGTTGCAAATATTCTCCTCCCCACTTTTTGTCATTTATCTCTTCATATCCTTTAGGATATGTCTAAAATATACAAATATATGAAATACAAATATTTACATACATAAATATATAGTATATATTTATAACCTGTAAAAATATAAGTATAAATATAACACATGTTAACATGTATTTTTTCCCATATAAATGTTTAAATATTTTCTGCTTTCAAATTTATTCATCATTTTTCTCCTTTTCACTTCTTTCTTCTTCTCTTTTTTAAATTTTTATTTATTTATTTGGGAGACAGGTATTGCTCTCTCCCCCAGGCTGGAGTGTAGTGACATGCTCATAGCTCACTGCAGTATCCCAGGCTCAAGTGATCCTCCCACCTCAGCCTCCCACATGACTGGGACCACAGGCACACACCACCACGCCTGGCTAATTTTTGTATTTGTAGAGATGAGACCTTGCTATGTTGCCCAGGGTAGTCTTGAACTCCTGGGCTCAAGCGATCCTCCTGCCTCGGCCTCCCAAACTGCTGGGATTGCAGGCAGGAGCCCCTGCGCCTGCCCAGCTCACTTTTAATTTTTTTTGGAGAGACAGGGTCTCATTGCATTGCCCAGGCTGATCTCTCAAACTTCCTGCCCTCAAACAATCCTCTTACCTCAGCTGCTTCTTTTTTAAGAATAGCAGTTATTTACATTCTACTTATATATATATATATATTTAAACCTCACTTTAGCCAATGTGACTGCCAAAAAACAAACAAACAACTAAACTAACTCACTGGGAGATCTTTAAAGAAAAACCCATGCTTTTTTCCAGCACATTTTAGACATGTCATTACATATGGACTAGTCAAAAATCAGTTTCAGGGAAAGTAAAAGTAAGACAGAACAGAAAAATATATTGGAAGAAATAATGGCAAAAAAAAAAATCCAAATGTGATTAAAACTACAGACCCACAAATACAAGAAGCTCAATGAACCCCAAGCATAAGAAATGTGAAGAAAATGACACCAAGGGACATCGCAATCAAATTGCTTAAAATCAATGTTCAATAGAGAACCTTAAAAAGAATCAAAGGAACAGGAAGATGTATACATGAACAATGATTAAGATGACACCAGATTTCCCATTGGAAAAACACGTGAGCAAGAAAACAGTGGAAAGCCTGGTGCATTGGCACGCACCATGGTCCCAGCAACTCGGGGGGCTGAGGCGGGAAGACGACTTGAGCCCGGGAGTTGTGGCCAGCGTGGGTAATACATGAGACCCCATATGTTGAAAAGAAAAGACAAGAAAAGGCAAAAGGAAAGAAAATCCTTAAGCAAAACCCTTAAAGTACAGCAAGAAAAGAAAATCCTGTTAACTAGAATTCCATAACCAGCTTAAATATCCTTTATAAATGAAGGAGGTGGAATGAAGTCTTTTTTTCCAGACATGCAAAAGCTGAAAGAATTTATCCCAAGTGCCCACACAACAAGAAAGGTTAAAGGAAGTCCTTTAGGCAGAAGGAAATGATACCAGATGAAAATACGAGTATATACAAAGGAATGAGGAGCAACTACGTGGGTAAATAGAGAAGTTCTTTTCCTTATTGTCTAAATCTCTTTAAAAGATAAATGTTTAAATGAAACTAAGAACAATGTTGCCTAGGCTTTGTGGCATAAGTAAGTGTAAAAATGGCAGCAGAAAGGTCAAGAGGGGAGGAATTGGATTATTGTATGGTTCTTTTTTTTTTTTTTTTTGAGACGGAGTCTCGCTCTGTCGCCCAGGCTGGAGTGCAGTGGCGCGATCTCGGCTCACTGCAGCCTCTGCCTCCCGGGTTCAAGCGATTCCCCTGCCTCAGCCTCCCCAGTAGCTGGGATTACAGGCACGCACCAGCACGCCCGGCTAATTTTTGTGTTTTTAGTAGAGACGGGGTTTCGCCGTGTTGGGTTCTTATACTCTAGTGTACACTATAATATCACTTGAAGATAGACTGGCAAGTTAAAGATAGATGCTATAAATCCTTTCAATTTCCTTTCTGGTAAACTGGACACATCTAGCTTAATAATTACCTATTCCTACTCATAAAAAAAAAAAAAAAAAAAAAAAGAGGCCGGACACAGTGGCTCACGTCTGTAATCCCAGCACTTTGGGAGGCCAAGGAGGGTGGATCACCTGAGGTCACAAGTTCGAGATCAGCCTGGCCAACAGGGTAAAACCCCGTCTCTACTAAAAAATACAAAAAAAATTAGCTGGATGTGGTGGCGGGAGCCCGTAATTGTAGCTACTCAGGAGGCTGAGGCAAGAGAATCGCTTGAACCCGGGAGGCAGAGGTTGCAGGGAGCCAAGATCACGCCACTGCACTCCAGCCTGGGCAACAGAGTATGACTCTGTTTCAAAAAATGAAAACAAAAACAAATTTCCCTCTTCTCAGTTAATGGAAATACATCCTTCCAGTTACTCAGGACAAAATGTTCAGAGTCATCCTCGATATCTCTCTTTCTCCTTTACCCAGAAAGGATCCAGTAGCAAATCCTGTGGACTGTATCTTCTGAGGGTGCTCAGATGAGCTACTTCTCACTCCTCTGCTGCCTGCACCCTGGCTTGAGCCACCATCTGCTCTCTCCTAAATTATTCCAACTAGCTCCTAACTGGTCTCCTGCTTCCATCCTTGACATGCTTCAGCATATTCTCCAAATAGCAGCCAGACAGATTCTTTTAAAATCAAAGTCAGCTCATATTACTCGCCTGCCCAAAAACTGCCAGTGGCTGGGAGCAGTGGCTCACAGCTGTAATCCCAGCACTCTGGGAGGCCCGGGCAGGAGGATCGCTTGAGCCCAGGAGTCTGAGACCAGCCTAGGTACATAGTGAGACCCCATCTCTACAAAAAATAACAAGTTAGCCGGGTGTAGTGGTGTTTGCCTGTAGTCCCAGTTACTCAGGAGGGTGAGGTGGGAGGATTACTTGATCTGGGAGGTCAAGGCTGCAATGAGCCGAGATGGTGCCACTGCATTCAACCTGGGCGTCATCCTATGTAATCTGGCTTCCACTACCTCTCTGATCATGTCTCCTCCTCTGCAGCCTCTCATTCGTGCACTCCAGATACCCTGGCCTCCTGGTGCTGTTCTAACTCATGGTGCATGCTCCTTGCACAAGCTCCTGCCATTAGCACTTGCTCTTCTCTCTACATGGGATGCTCTTCCTCCAGCAGAAGCAGAATTACCAATAGACTAATGGAGCATAAACTTCTCACCCTTTACCGACATGGGCCCTCCCAAGGCCTTGTACCCACTTTTGTATTGATAATTTCATATTCTATTTCTTAAAGAGGCTCTCAAAGTTGTATCAACATAGGGTCCCACAAATCTTGGATCTATTCCTGTCCCCCAGATATCTGTGTGGCTCACTACTCCATCTCTTTCAAGTCTTTGTTTAAATATTGCATTTGGACTGAGACTGTTTAAAACTGCACCACCAACCCTTCATCTCTAGTAACTTCCTATCTTCCTTTCCCTCTTGTTTTCATCCTTAGAATTTATTATTACCATTTGCACTGTTAATCTTCATTTCTTTATCTTATTTTCTGTCTCCCTCATTAGAATTTAAGCTCCGCAAATGCACAGATTTGTGTGTTTTTTTTTCCAGCTATCCCCAGTACTTAGACTAATACTTGGCAAATAGTAAGTGCTCAATAAATTTGTGTTGAATGACTGAAGCTCTCCTTTTGGCGTAAGGGAGTGAAATGAAAGAATTTGTATTTGTAGACCCCCCAAAAGGGACAGTATGACTTTAGGAGGAGGACAGAGGCAGGAGGAATAGAAAAGGCAGGTGGTTTTGTGTTTACCAAGGACCTGAAAAACTTAAGTCTCACTGACAACATTTCAAGGTTGGTGTTTGGTCTGGAGGTGCTGGGGCCAATGGAATGTGGATATTCTGTAAGGGGCAGATGCCCAGAAGCGGGGGCAGACGTGAGGGCCTGTTGCTGCTGCATCGTCTCTAAGACACCTCACTGTGGACCGATGCTCCCTTTCAGATCAGGGCCCCTGATGTCCCTCTGCTTCAGAGATCTCTCCCATGATAAGAAGCCCCTCTTCCCCAGTACCGCTGGGAACACCTGCAAGGCCTGGGAACACCTGGAAGGAGTTGGGTAGAATGAATGCAAAAATGTGAGAAAGGGTGAAAAGCATTAGGTTTAAAGAGAAAGTTAGATTAGGCTGGTCATGGTGGCTCATGCCTGTAATTCCAGCACTTTGGGAGGCTGAGGCGGGTGGATCACCTGAAGTCAGGAGGTCGAGATCAGCTTGGCCAACATGGTAAAACCCTGTTTCCACTAAAAATACAAAAATTAGCCGGGCGTGGTGGTGCATGCCGGTAATCCCAGCTACTAGGGAGGCTGAGGCCTGAGAATTGCTTGAGCCCGGGAGGAGGACGGTATAGTGAGCCGAGATGGTGCCACTGCACCCCAGCCTGGGTGACACAGTGAGACTCCATCCCCCCAAAAAAATAATAAAACAACATACACAAGAGTAGGTTAGATTAGTCCAAAGACAGTAAAATAAGACACGAGCTGGGAAGTTTAGGACAGATTAGAATGGACTTGGGGACAGGTCAAGATGCATGACTCTGGACAAATGCCATGAGAAGTGCAGGAGTATTCAAAGCTCATTGGTAAATGGTACAGGCTACATCGTTCAGGAGCCAGGTGGCTTGGTAGTGGCAGGAAGCACAGATGCATCTTGCAGAAGAAGCTGCCAAGCCCTGACTCTCCTGCCAGCTGGCCCTGCCACCATAGACCTGGATCTTGGAGAGAGTCACTGCTTTTCCAGGGCAGTCCTTTGGCCTGGGTCTCAAAGACCTCTAAAACTTAGCTTGGGCTTGGCGCAGTGGCTCACGCCTGTAATCCCAGCACTTTGGGAGGCTGAGGCAGGTGGATCACGAGGTCAGGAGTTCAAGACCAGCCTTGCCAACATGGTGAAACCCCATCTCTACTAAAAATACAAAAAATTAAATGGGTGTGGTGGCGGGCACCTTTAATCCCAGCTACTGGAGAGGCTGAGGCAGAGAATTGCTTGAACCTAGGAAGTGGAGGTTGCAGTGAGCCAAGATTGCACCACTGCACTCCAGCCTGGTGACAGAGTGAGACTCTGTCTCAGAAAAAAAAAAAAAAAAAAAAGAAAACAAAAATACAGCTTGGAGTATCCAAAGGACTTGAGAGATAGAGTAGTGGTCAAGAAGCAAGGTTATAAACACCCTGTAAGGACTGAGGTTGCTACCGCTTTAAATTCCATTGAGCATTCGGAAGCAAAATGGTGCATTTTTATACAGTAATTTTATTAAGAGAACAAGTGTCCACCACTGTGTGGCACCCGTATTTGTTCAGCCATAGATTTTAGAGGCATCTTGCAAAGCCTGATTCTAATTAATTTAAGTCCATTAGATGGAATGTGTTACTGTTCCTGGCCAAAACTAAGTTGTCACAGTCAGATTAATTTCTCCTAGCAGAGTGGCAAAGCAATTACGACTGCAAATACGGCAAGTCACTCCTCACCGGCAGAAGCTCATGATATTTGAGGGAGTCTTATGTACCTAAAATGTTCGGTGATAAATTGTTAGATGATATTTAATTAGACAATTAACTCAACGTGCAGCTTGATTATCAGTTAGGTGGAGAGCTCCAGCCTCTCACCGGTTTGGTTCACTGCAGTTTCTCCCAAGCGCTGCTTCCTATTGGGAATGGATGCTCGGCTCCTTTCAGGCTTTCTGTCTTGTCTCCAGCTCACGTGCCCAAGATACGCATCTCCTGGGGACTTGAACAGGCATCAGGCTGGCAAAAAATGGTGGGAATCATGGCCGGGCGCGGTGCCTCATGCCTGTAATCACAGCATTTTGGGAGGCTAAGGTGGGCAGATCACTTGAAGTCAGGAGTTTGAAACCAGCCCGGCCAACATGGTGAAACCCTGTCTCTACTAACAATACAAAAATTAGCCAAGTGTGGTGGTGCACGTCTGTAATCCCAGCTACTCGGTAGGCCGATGCAAGAGAATCGCTTGAACCTGGGAGGTGGAGGTTGCGGTGAGCTGCGATCGCGCCACTGCACTCCAGCCTGGGTGACAGATTGAGACTCCATCTCCAAAAAAAAAAAAAAAAAAAAAAATGGAAATGAGAACTCTGAGCGATCTTCAGTCTTACCGAAGCCTGGCTTGTCATTCTGTGAACACAGAGCTAGAGGTCCAGTGGGAGAGGCTTAAGGCCACACAGCTAGGTAGTGGCAGGAACTGGATACCACTTTTTGACTTGAGAAGTGTGTAGATCTACTGAAATGTTAATTTTTTTTTTTTTTTTTTTTTTTTTTTGAGATGGAGTCTCACTCTGTCTCCCAGGCTGGAGTGCAGTGGTGCGATCTCAGCTCACTGCAACCTCCGCCTCCCGGGTTCAAGCTATTCTCCTGCCTCAGCCTCCCAAGTAGCTGGGATTATAAGTGTGTGCTGCCACACCCGGCTAATTTTTGTATTTTCAGTAGAGACGGGGTTTCGCCATGTTGGCCAGGCTGGTCTCAAACTCCTGACCTCAGGTGATCCACCCACCTCAGCCTCCCAAAGTGGTGGGATGACAGGTGTGAGCCACCACGCCTGGCCATTCATTTCTTATTAGACTCCAGAGTAGAACTTTTTCACAACTTTGTCCCTGTGATGTGCTTTCCTTGAAGATCCTTTCCCTCAGAGAACTGACAGATAGTAAAGAACAGCCAGGAAGAGTGGGCTCTACCGTTCTTCAGGGCTTGCCTTTGGCTTTCTGCCCTCAGAACCAGGAAAAAGAGAACACTTGCTTTTTGTCTCACCCAGCCTCAGGGAGCAGAAATGCTAGAGAAATCCCAAAAGCTTAGGTAAAGATGGGCATAGATAGGAGTGGCTGTCCCCAGGAAAGATGGGCGTAGATAGGAGTGGCTGTCCCCAGGAAAGATGGGCGTGGATAGGAGTGGCTGACCCCAGGAAAGATGGGCGTAGATAGGAGTGGCTGTCCCCAGGAAAGATGGGCGTAGATAGGAGTGGCTGTCCCCAGGAAAGATGGGCGTAGATCGGAGTGGCTGTCCCCAGGAAAGATGGGCGTAGATCGGAGTGGCTGTCCCCAGGAAAGATGGGCGTAGATAGGAGTGGCTGACCCCAGGAAAGATGGGCGTAGATCGGAGTGGCTGACCCCAGGAAAGATGGGCGTGGATAGGAGTGGCTGTCCCCAGGAAAGATGGGCGTAGATAGGAGTGGCTGTCCCCAGGAAAGATGGGCGTAGATAGGAGTGGCTGTCCCCAGGAAAGATGGGCGTAGATAGGAGTGGCTGTCCCCAGGAAAGATGGGCGTAGATAGGAGTGGCTGACCCCAGGAAAGATGGGCGTAGATCGGAGTGGCTGACCCCAGGAAAGATGGGCGTAGATCGGAGTGGCTGTCCCCAGGAACTTCTCCGCATTAGGCTGTGCTTGTGGCATCTCTCAGGTCCCTCCATTGCTATCACCTCCAGAATCAGAGGCTGCCTTACCACATGTGTGAGATTCCCTTCAGTTAGCTCTGAGCCTTTGGCCAAGACTGCACAAATGTCTTAGCCTGGTTTCAGAACAACTCTGCTCTCCCAGACCCCATTCAAATGAGGTCTGCACCTGTGCCTGGGTGGAAAGGTAGTGGAGAGCAGTCCCTCCTGAGGACAGCTTGGGGTGGTAGTAGCAATGCAGGGGGATACCTACGGGGAGGGGAACTCTGGAGGTGAGAGTTGGGGCCGCCTTATTCCCCAAATGTCAAATTTTTTGCTCCTCTGATTACCTTGGAGAATCTTGATGGATATTTTTTTTGGTGCCTCAGTGAACGGGTGGGGGGGAATGTGGTTTCTAAGAGGCCTCCTATCTTGAGCTCAGGATCCCTTCTGAGCTTAATATTATATATCTTTAGATTGGCTCTTTCTCATTGGCTCTGATTGGCCTGCCATGGATCAAGGGAACACTAGAATTAATCAGCTGGGGCCAGGAAGGTAGAGTCGTTCCAACAAGAATCAGGTACAAAGGGTTGGGGCATGGAGAAGGCCAGGATGCAAGGAAGGGCCATCCCAGAAGAGCAGCCTGATGGGCAGATGATATTTTTGGTATAGATGGACCATCATTTCTTTAAACATTCCATCATTAAGTTATTTTCCATTTTTTTCTGTTGCATCGAATACCTATGTATGCACATCTTTGTGACACATGTTACTATTTTTGTAGGCTAGAGTCCTAGAATGGAATTGCTGAGTCAATGGGTATCATGCATGCTGCTAAATTATTTTCAAAACCTATTGCGGTTTTCACTCTTCCAACACATCAGCCATCGGAGAGCAGCAGCCATGGCTCTGTACTACCCCCCGGCTGAGGGCCTCAGCGAGGGCACAGGTGATCAGCAACGTAAGCAAGCTCAGGCACACTCACCAAGTTCAGCAGGACATGATCTGAGAGGTGCGTGGCTTTGCCCTGAATGCGCGGCATGCCATGGAGTTGCTCAAGGTCTCCAAAGACAAATGGGCCCTCAAGTTCATCAAGAAAAGGGTGGGGACACACATCCACACCAAGAGGAGGTGAGAGGAGCTGAGTGACGTCCTGGCCACAATGAGGAAAGCAGCTGCCAAGGACTGAGCTCCCCTTGCTCTGCATAACAAAACCTTTTTTTACAGAACAAAAGATGGCAATTTTCACTCCTGCCAGCACCTCATTGTCTCCAGTGTTTTTCATCTTCACCAATTTGATTGCCAAAAATTTTTTTATTTTGCGTTTTTAAAATTATGATTCATCATAATTCAGTGTGTCTTCTTAGGTTTATTAGCGATGCTTTTCTTTTTTGTGATTTATTTATCCTTTGTGTATTTTCTCAATTAGTTTGTTTCTCTTTTTCTTATTCATGTGTAGAAACACTTTACGTTTGTGAATTTTTAACTCTTATCTTTTATGTACGTTGCAAATGTTTTCTCCCTGGCAATGATGTGAATGGTAGCGCTCTTGCACAAAAGTTTAGGTTTTTGAGTCGTCTAATCTTTCGCTTCCATGTGTCCTGGATATTGTGTCAGAGTTAGCAAATCCTTTCCAACCTCAAGACTATAGAAATAGTCTCTTATATTTTCTCATAGTATTTTTATAGTCTTAGTTTTTATTTTTTGATCTTTAATTCATGTAGAATTTATTATGTGTGTGATATATAAATGTACAATTGTTTCTACGCCATTAAACAATCTTTTTCATTGGTAATGCCACTCTACTTGTGTATTAAATTTTCATTAATTTGTGGATCTGTTTGTGAACTGCCTATTTGTTTCATTAATCTGCTTTTTCTATACACGTACCAGCACCATGTCATTGTCTTTTTAATTAAAAAAGTTTTATTTCAAAAAATGTTTTTACATACTTGTCTAATTAGCGTAGTTTTGTAGTATGTTTTTATCTTATGATGCATTTTAAAATGTTTTCCTGCATAATTTTGCATATTTATCCATCAGAATCAATTGATCACATTTCCTTCTGCCACTCCCACCTCCAAGCTGCACTGAATTCTAGATAAATATGGGGGGGAGATCCATCTTTTATAGTGTTGCTTTCCTATCTGAAAACATGGTATATCTCCTTATTTTTCTTTTTCCTTTCTTTCTTTTTTTTTTTTTTGACACGGAGTCTAACTTTGTTGCCCAGGCTGAGTGCAGTTGCATGATCTCGGCTCACCACAACCTCTGCCTCCCGGATTCAAGAGACTCTCCTGCCTCAGCCTCCCAAGTGGCTGGGATTACGGGTATGTGCCAACACGCCCAGCTAGTTTTTGTATTTTTAGTAGACACGGGGTTTTTCCATGTTGGTCAGGCTGGTCTGGAACTCCCGACCTCAGGTGATCTGCCCACCTTGGCCTCCCAAAGTGCTGGGATTACAGGTGTGAGCCACCGCGCCCGGCCCATCTCCTTATTTTCAATCCATCTTTCATGTCTCTCAGTGATGACATACATTCTTTATGACTCTACATTTTCTTGTTGTCTTTAGGTTTTATTACCATTGTGACTTTCATCATTTCTTCTACTATATATTCTGAATGGGAAAGCTTTTAATTTTTCCCTGCATTTGTTTTGTATTCAACCAATTTCCTGAATTCCATTATTATTCTAATAATTTTAGCGCTGACTTTCCTAAATATTCTGGGTTAATAATACTAGTTAGTACCTGAGTAATGGTGGTTTGTCTTCTTTTATTTATACTTCATTTCTTTTTCCTGCCTTTTGTCCTCGCCATTGCAGTGTCTTGATGGGATGTCTCTCTTTGGCACCCTTTGGGATATGACTCTGAACTCTGCCTTCTGGCTGCAGTCCCCTCAACTCTGGATGGAGCTCTATTATTTTTGTGTGGGGGTGGGGGCTTATCTCCTGAGCCAGCCTCTGCTTGTCAGAACACACTCTTCCTGCAAGCATGGTTTCCACGGGCCCCTGCTATGGCAGCCACAGCCTCACATCGTGAAGAACACACTCTTCCTGCAAGCACGGTTTCCACGCTCCCCTGCTGTGGCAGCCACAGCCTCACATCATGAGGATGATACGCAGCCATTCAAGGGATAACCTCTAAGGACAGCCTGGCATGTCTGAACTCACTTCTCTTCCCACTGCCAGTTGAGCCTTGCCTTCTAGCTCAGTCAGCACTGGGAGACTAGGCTACTCAATCTGGTGGTCTTTTGTTTCCAGCTCTCCCCAATATCCCTATTGTGCATTCCTCATGCCCCATACTCTCCTTGACTTCCCCTAATTGACCCCAACTTGTGTCCTACATCCTTCATCTCCCCAGACCTGACCTAATGATTGGAGAGAGGAAGCAGGATGTTGAGCGAGGGAAGCTGAATTTCTCCTGCACTGGAGCCTGGCTGCAGAACCTGAGGAAGTAGGAGGGATGAAGAAGCAAGAAAGCTTCCAGCAACCTTTAGTCAGCCTCAAGAAGTCTCCGGCTAGGAGGCAATGCTAAACCAGGACAACCTAGAGATACCCTGGCTGGCCAGGGCTTCCTAAAAAAGACGTGTTGCTGGGTGGTTGCGTTGCCTTAAGAACACACCCATTACCCAGTGAATCTGCCGTGAGTCAGAGAGACGCCCCTGAAGACACATTACCTGGAGGAGATAAGCTCCCCAGCCTCCCCCACAGCCATTCCCCAGTCTCTTCTCTTCAGCTTCTTCATTTCTCCTCCTTCCAGTCTGGCCACTGGCTCAGGCCACAGCGGACACCCTGTTCACAGCCTGCATCACCCTCCTGAGACAGAACCTTCTCCAAGTGTTTGCCTTTGGGCAGGTCCCAAGGTACCACCTGGAGCTGCTGGAAAGGGTAGTCCTGACAGCAACCCCCTGGTGATCCGGTCCTTGCTAGCTCCTCCCCCGGCCTCCCTGTAATGCTGGGTGCAGAGGGATGCACCAGGGAGCTGCGTGTAAGTGGTGAACAGGAGAGCGTCTGGGTGACTGAACGGGGAGAAGGGAGGGGAAAGGATGGGAGAGGCTGAAGCAAACATCTTTGAGGAAAACGGGTAATGACGGAGCTGGTAGACAATGGTGAGAGAAGGAAGGGTGACACTGAAAGTAGTCATGCTCCTTTTTATTTAATTGAGATCTTCTTTTTCTCTTTTTGCCAATTAATAATATGTTTTGGTCTGGGGGATGCTTGGGAAGGCCCCATTGTTCAAAATATCTCTTTCAGGAACCTGGAACACCACCATTTGAGACTCACTTCTTTAGGTCTTGAGGGCTTTTTGGTCTTTGAGATGCTTTTGTGTAAAGTTAATGCACCTCCAGTGCCCTCTGAACAAAGGCCGGTGAACGTGGACTAAGCTTCCCTGGCCATCCTTGTCTCCTGCAGCTTACCCTCCTCCCCGCCCCAACCTGAAGGAGTAGCTCCCTCCCCGTTGAGAGCTCCATGGCTACGCCTAATTTACATCACCCTCCCCAAGCTGGAGGAGTAGTTCCCTCCCCATCCCAGAGCTCCATGGCTTTGCCTAATTTACATGACCCTCCCCACGCTGGAGGAGTAGTTCCTTCCCCGTCCCAGAGCTCCATGGCTATGCCTCACTTGCCTCACTGGGCCCAAGCTGTCCTGGAAGGGAGGAAGCTGCGGATGTGTCTGTTCCCTTCCTTGGGCTGTGAGCACCTGGATGGCAGGGACTACAGAGACCCCAGGGGGTGGAGGGGGTGAAAAGCAAGTTTCACATGTCCTGTTTGGCCTGAGACCAGGCCCCTACCTGACTTATGCTCCAGGTCGCAGACAGACCAATTCCACAGCAGAGGAATCTATTTCAACGTTGTATCAGACTCCAGTCTAGGAAGCAGACCACACTGAGTGAGTATATCAGTCAGAGTTCCCCAAAGAAACAGAACCAGTCTATATACAGTGGTGTGTGTGCGCGTGTGTGTGTGTGTGTGTGTGTGTGTGTGTGTGTGTGTGTGTGGAGAGAGAGAGACAGAAAGAGAGAGTTTAGAAATTGTCTCATACGACTGTAGAGGCTTTGTCAGAGGCATTTGAACCACAGCAACTCCATCTTGAATAGGGGCTGGGTAAAATAAGGCCAAGACCTACTGGGCTGCATTCCCAGATGGTTAGGCATTCTAAGTCACAGGATGAGATAGGAGGTCACAAGATACACGTCATAAAGACCTTGCTGATAAAACAGGTTGCAGTAAAGGAGCCGGCTAAATCCCACCAAAATCAAAATGGCCATGAGAGTGACCTCTGGTGGTCCTCACTGCTACACTCCCACCACCGCCATGACAGTTTACAAATGTCATGGCAACATCAGGAAGTTACCCTAAATTGTCTAAAAAGGGGAGGCATGAATAGTCCACCCCTAGTTTAGCATATCATCAAGAAATAGCCAAAAAAAAAAAAAAAAAAAAAAAGCAACCAGCAGCCCTCAGGGCTGTTCTGCCTATGGGGTAGCCATTTTTAAAAATCATTTACTTTCCTAATGAACTAGCTTTCATTTTACTCTATGGACTTACCTTGAGTTCTTCCTTGCATGATATCCAAGAACCTGCTCCTGGGGTCTGGATTGGGACCCCTTTCCTGTAACAGCATGGTAAGTCCAAAATCTGTAGAGTAGGCTAAGACCCTGGAGACTCAGGGAGGAGTTACAGTTTGAATCTGAAGGCAGTCTGCTTGCAGAATTTCTTCCTTTCCTGGGGAAGTCAGTCTTTTTCCATTAAGGCCTTTAGCTGATTGGAAGAAATCCACCCAGATTATAGAGGTAACTGCTTTACTCAAATTCCATCAGTCAAATCTCATTCAAAAAACACCTTCACAAAAACAACCAGAATAATGTTTTGAGGTAGGATTTTTGTTCTTGGTCACTTTGCAAGCTGGAAACCCCCAGCTGGCGATGTCCTGTCCAGACCTCCCTCAGCCAGGCTGGCATGCCCCAGCTTGCCTGTGTTATAGGTTGTACCTGCATTCAATGGTTCCCGAGCTCTTGTACCACACCAAGAAGAATGAGGATATACTGGACATTGAAGGGTGATGGGGGTGGAGAAGAATTTTATTGAGTGACGGAATGGCTATCAGCGGAGAGGGGACATAGGGGGTGGCCCCCCAGCCCCACAGTCGGGTGGTTCTCACCTCCCCAAGTGGCTGGGTCTGGGGCTTTTTATGGGCTCAGAATAGGGGAGGGGCAGGCCATAGGTAGTATTGGAAAAGGCAACATTCAACTGGTTAAAAGGCATTATTCAGAAAGAATCAATCAGGAAAGGGTGGGCAAACAGGAACAGAAGTTCTAAGTCTGAGTCGTGGGTTTCGTCTGGGACCAGCAGTCCAGCCTTTCAGCTCTGTTTTTGGCTGGAAGGTGGGGTTTCACCAGGGACCCACCCCCACCTGCCAATGCATTTGGCTGCATCCCGTGGCTATCAGTTTGACCAAATATCTGGGTACTGAGCCGCCATGAGGAAAGCAGCTGCCAAGGACTGAGCCCCTCCTCTGCATAATAAAACCTTTACAGAAAAAGAATTTACAATTTTCACTCCTGCCAAGTTGACATGTAAAATTAATCATCACCAGTCTGCTCCTTGTCAATCTGGGACCCACACATCTCTCCTTAAATCATACTTCACCTTCAAGTAAAGACAATAACAAGATCGTAGTTCTGTCTAACATGACACAACTATCCTTGCTACAACTGCATCCTACTGCACTAATCCTTTTCCCAGAAGAGGATACAAAGTCCTTAGGTGTGTGAAAGGAAAATAAATCTTGGGGCCCCAAAATCACTAAGCTAAAGGGAAAAATCAAGCTGGGAACTGCTTAAGGCAAACCTGCCTCCCATTCTATTCAAAGTCACCCCTCTGCTCACTGAGATAAATGCATATTCTGCTGGCCCCTTTGGAGAAGCTAATCAGCAACTCAAAAGAATGCAACCATTTGTCTCTTATCTACCTATGACCTGGAAGCCCCCTCCCTGCTTCAAGTTATTCTGCCTTTCCGGAGGGAACCAATGTTCATCTTACATATGTTGATTGATGTTTCATGTCTCCCTAAAATGTATAAAAGCAAGCTGTGCTCCAACCACCTTGGGCACACGTCGTCAGGATTTCCTGAGGCTGTATCACAGGAGTGCGTCCTTAGCTTTGGTAAAATAAACTTCCTAAATTGATTGAGACTTGTCTCATTTTGAGGGTTCACAGGTGATATTTACTTATTTGAGATCCTGTAACTTAAACACTATGATGTAAAGTTAGCAATATTAAATTCTATGAGATAAAGTAATGCATCTTATGTTACACGATAAATGAATACGAAAGGGAAGAAAACAAAGGTGCTATACGCACACTAACATATTCATAACAAAATAAGGAAGAAACACTCATGACAATTACAGTTCTGGTTTTTATACCTGGTCATGTAGTTGTGGCTGGTATTGATAACTATCTTATTTCACTACTCATTCCATATTCCCTTTGCCCTCAGCAAGCACCTGAGTGGCCATGGATCGTTGCCTGGTGAGGTGACCAGAACCCTCGTTCCTAAAGGGTCTGGGGTCATTAGTAGTTCTGCCTGGATTGGGTTGTTGTAATTTTCCACTGACTTTAATCACAGGGCATGGGAATACTGAGAGACGTCCTATGGTATCTCCTGTATTTCAGACATACTCTTCCTTACCTCCACTGTGACATTCAAGGGGTATGGCTTTGGCCCCACCTTCTTGAATCTGCCTTCAGATTCAAACTGTAACTCCTCCCTGAGTCTCCAGCCTCTTCTTGGAAATGGCCCTATCTAAAAACCACTTGGCCATTTTGAAATCTTTCTCAGGTCCTGATTCTGGGTTATGCTCAGGGCAGTCTCTGAAGATTTCTCATCCTGTTCAGGCCGGTTCCTTGCTAATTTATGCCCACACATACCTGGCAGGGAGAGCTAAAGATGGAGTTGGTGGGAGCTGCCCTTTGGCATCATTGATTTTTAATGTATTCCTAAGCAGCAGCATCTGTCCTTGATCCTCTGCTTGTCAGAAGGCCAAACTCACAGACATTTTAAGCTTAAAACAAACAGTTACAAAGCTGTTGAACTTTGCCTGTGCAAGGACAAACACAAAAACATCCCAAGGCCCACCCCCCGCTGACCCCCACTGTACTTGTCACACATATGTGAGAATTTCCATTCTCAGCTAAAGGCAAGCATTGAAAGAATACACAGAAAGCCTGGAAAAGGTTTCCAGGGGTGTCAATACGCCCTGTCAACTGAGAATTAAGAGGATCCGGCTGGTCACTTGCCTGGAGAGGATCCTGCATGCTGATAGTGCTGAGGCACCTGCCAGCTAAGGTGAGAGACAGCTGAACTTGAACATGTGGGCTGTCACTGAGAGCGGTCAGCAGAAGAAAATTTGAGCCATGGGTAAGGCCTGGTAGAAAGGGAGGAGGTTGGGGAGGCGTGAATAGGCCTTTGGAAAGAGGTGCTGTTAACCCAAAACAGAGAGGCAGCAGCTTTGCAATTAGATTTTCTTTTTGAAATAGCAGGCTCTGTCCCTGGTAGCAATAGGGATAAATAAAAAGTAATATGTATTCATTGGGAAAATAATTGGAAAAAGAATTAGGCAAAATAAGCATGTGGTTTTGTATCTTGTTTTTTAAAACAGCTTGTTGTAATACATTAGATATTCTTTGAAAAAAATAGAATTTGAAGTTCAGAAAATCAAATCAGTTTTAGGGATTGAGAATCTCACTACATATTTTGTCTTTCAAAATTGTTTGTTTATTTATTTATTTAGAAATGGGGTCTTGCTATGTTGTCCGGGCTGGAGTGTAGTGGTACAATCATACCTCACTGCAGCCTCAAACTCGTGGGCTCAAGGGATCCTCCTGTCTCAGTCTCCTGAGTAGCTGGGACTATAGTCAGGCACACCTCACCTTGTTCCCAGACCAAACTGAGGGTCGGGCTGCTTATTCTTGCGGCCCAGTAATGAGATGCAGATGAACTGGGAAAGAAGGGAGTTTATTGCTGTAACTGGGTACAGGGAGGTCTGGAAAATATCACCAGAACAATTCAAAATTACAAAGTTTTCCAGAGCTTATATACCTTCTAAGCTATATGTCTATGTGTACGTGTGCATTCATCTAAAGACATAAGTAAGTGATTAACTTCTTCTAATCTATAACTAAGATCTGAGTCCTGAAGGCCTTCCTTTGGAGCCTTCGTAAATTCATTTAATCTAAATGGGTGAAGGTGCTGGGGTGATTACCCTTATCTTGTGTCCTGCTAAATCACAGGGTTTTGGGGAGTTCCTTTAGTCCCCAGTAAAGCTTGTTTGTGAAGGTCTGGGGAGTTCCTTAAGATCCACAATAAAACTTGTTTAATCCTAAATGGGTCCTGTTAAGAATTCCTTCATTATTTTGTCATGCTTTAAGGCCCAGGAAAGGCCTAGGCAAAACTCTTGGTGGGCTTTTGTTACATTCAAGCCTTTGTATAGGGCACTGATGCTATCAGCTTTTAATATTTAACCTAACCACTCAGTCAGTGCTGAAACAGTTGTTATGGAGGCCTACCTGTTCAGCCATTATGGAGACCTGGCCTGCCACAACCTTGCCTGGCTAACTTTTAAATTTTTGTAGAAACAAGGTCTTGCTGTTTGCCTAGGCTGGTCTTGAACTCCTAGGGTCAAGTGATCCTCCCATCTTGTTCTCCCAAAGTGTTGAGATTACAGGCATGAACTACTATGCTTGGCCATCTTTCAAAGTTTATATGTGTATTCATCCATTTCCTTATTGCTGATAAAGGCATACCCAAGAATGGGTAATTTATAAAGAAAAAGAGGTTTAATGGACTCACAGTTCCACATGGCTGGAGAGGCCTCACAATTATGGCAGAAGGCAAAAGGCACATCTTACATGGTGGCAGGCAAGAGAGAGAACGAAAGCCAAGTGAAAGGGGTTTCCCCTTGTAAAACCATTAGATCTCATGAGACTTATTCACTAGCATGTGAAAACTACGGGGGGAACCACCTCAACAATTCAATTATCTCCCACTGGGTCCCTTCCACAACACATGGGAATTATGGTAGCTATAATTCAAGATGAGATTTGGGTGGGGACAGAGTCAAACCATATCATTCCACTCCTGGCCCCTTCCAAATCTCATGTCTTCACATTTCAAAACCAATCATGCCTTCCCAACAGTTTCCCAAAGTCTTCACTCATTTCAGCATTAACTCAAAAGTCCACAGTCCAAAGTCTTACCCGAGATAAGGCAAGTCTCTTCCACTTATGAGCCTAAAAAACAAAAAGCAAGTTAGTTACTTCCTAGATACAATGGAGGTACAGGCATTGGATAAATATACCCATTCCAAATGGGAGAAATGGGTCAAAACGAAGGGGCCAAAGGTTCCATGAAAGTCCAAAATCCAGCAGGGCAGCCAAATCTTAAAGCTCCTTTGACTCCATGTCTCACATCCAGGTCATGCTGATGCAAGAGGTGGGTTCCCATGGTCTTGGGCAGCTCTGCCCCTGTGGCTTTGCAGGGTACACCCTCCCTCCTGGCTGCTATCATGGGCTGGCATTGAGTGTCTGTGACTTTTCCAGGCACATGGTGCAAGCTGTCAGTGGACCTACCATTCTGGGGGCTGGAGGACGGTGGCCCTCCTCTCACAGCCGCACTAGGCAGTAACCTAGTGGGGACTTTGTGTGGAGGCTTCAACCCCACATTTCCCTTCTTCACTGCCCTAGCAGAGGTTCTCTGTGAGGGTCCCAGCCCTGCAATAAAATTCTGCCTGGACCTCCAGTTATTTCCATACCTCCTCTGAAATCTAGGTGGAGGTTCCCAATCCTCAATTCTTGACTTCTGTGCACCCACAGGCTCAACACCACATGGAAGCTGCCAAGTCTTAGAGTTTGCACCCTCTGAAGCCGCAGCCTGAGGTGTACCTTGGCACCTTTTAGCCATGGCTAGAGCAGCTGGGACGTAGGGTGCCAAGTCCCTAAGATGCACACAGCAGGGGGCCCCTGGGCCCAGGCCACGCAAACATTTTCTCCTTCTAGGCCTATAGGCCTGTGATGGGAGGGGGCTGCCACAAAGGTCTTTGACATACCCTGGAGACATTTTCTCTATCATCTTGGCAATCTGGCTCTTCATTACTTATGCAAATTTCTGCAGCCAGCTTGAATTTCTCCTCAGAAAATGCGTTTTTCTTTTGTATTGCGTCAGGCTGCAAATTTTCCAAACTTTTATGTTCTGTTTCCCTTTTAAAACTGAATGCTTTTAACAGCACCCAAGTCACACTTTGAATGCTTTGCTACTTAGAAATTTCTTCTGCCAGATATCCTAAACCATCTCACTCAAGTTCAAAGTTCCACAAATCTCTAGGGCAGGGGCAAAATGCTGCCAGTCTCTTTGCTAAAACATAACAAGAGTCACCTTTACTCCAGTTCCCAAGTGCCTCATCTCCATCTAAGACCACCTCAGCCTGGATTTCATTGTCCATATCATTGTCAGAATTTTGGCCAAAGCCATTTAACAAGTCTCTAGGAAGTTCCAAACTTTTTCACATTTTTCCTGTCTTCTTCTGAGCCCTCCAAACTGTTCTAACCTCTGCCTGTTACCCAGTTCCAAAGTTGCTTCCACATTTTCAGGTACCCTGACAGCAGTGCCCCACTCTACCAGTACCAATTTACTGTATTAGTCTGTTTTCTTGCTGCTGATAAAGGCATACCCAAGACTGAGTAATTTATAAAGAAAAAGAGGTTTAATGGACTCACAGTTCCACATGGCTGGGGAGGCCTCACAATCATGGCAGAAGGCAAAAGGCACGTCTTACATGGTGGCAGACAAGAGAGAGGATGAAAGCCAAGCAAAAGGGGTTTCCCCTTGTAAAACCATCAGTTTTTATTCACTACCAAGAGAGAAGTATGGGAGAAACTTATTCACTACCACGAGAAAAGTATGGGGGAAACTACCCTCATGATTCAATTTTCCCCCACCAGGTCCCTCCCACAACACATGGGAATTATGGGAGCTACAGTTCAAGATGATATTTGGGTAGGGACACAGCCAAAACATATCAATATAATCAACCAGAACCTATAACTTTTCCTCATTGAAGACATCAGAAATTGCCACCTGTATTGTACTAATTGAATGAAATTTCTGTGTAACAAAGCCATTCCAGCTTCTGTTGGATTATCCACATGAATGATGCCCAGCTGATTATAAAAAATTCTGTACTCCATGCTGAGTTCCTGTAACTCTAGAAAAAGGAAAAAAAAAACTGTACTCCAAATAGCTACAGAAACTGGGATTTTAAAAATCCCTTTCTTCAAAGAAAGAACCTCAGAACAATTGGTGGTGTGCTTAACCCAAAGCATTTGGAGTAGGACAGACTTGGGTGGGATCTGTCTTTGCCACTTCCTGGTTGTATTGTTGTGGGAAAGTTATTTGAACCTGCTAACTGTCAATGTGTTCAGTTGCAAATGGGAATAATCTTAGGCTACTTTTAGAATTGTTGCAAAAGTAAGTGAAATAATGCATAGAGGGCACTTGTCACAGTGGCTGGTACATAGAAATGAACCATTTATTGCTAAATTGTAGTATTATTGCAAACAGGGAGCCTGCATTGATTTATGATTCCACTCTAAGAATATAGCACAATCAGTGAGATATTATAAGGACTCAATCAGTGCAAACTGAATGAATGAATAAATTGCATGGGTTGCTGTAGCTTAGGGCAGGATGGGCAGAGGTGTTTTTTTTTTTAATCAAATATCCTCATATTGTTCCCTCTTCCAAGATCCTAGTTACCTCAAAAGAACATTGCTTAAATTTACAGACAACCCATACCCATGCACAAAATGCTTGTGCTTAAACAAACACTCAATTAATGAATACGTAAGAGTTAAGTGATAGAAAGTGGGTGGGGATGCCTGATACTCTCCATCTTTTTCCCTTGAGGTCAAGCACTTGTTTTACTTGCTCATTCACTGCAAGGAAAAGGCAGCTCCTCCAGTTCTCATTCATCCACAGATTTCAGCATTACAGTCACGTTAAGATCAGCTGTCAAAGGCTCTTTTCAACACACTAGATTCTGAGCACCACAGCTTCGTTTTAGAAGCAGCATAGAATAATATACTGGGCTTCTTTCCTTTGCTGTCAATTCCAGAAAAAGCTACTCAATACCTATAAAATTCTACAGATTAAGGGTATGATTTCCAGCCAAAAAAAAAAAACCCACAAAACTTTAATAAAATTCAATTGCATCAAAACAAACAGAAGACTGTGGGGTTTGGGGCAGTAGACAGTGTTTTTATTCCCTATCGCCCAGCAGAACTCAGCAAAGCAGGCTGCACGCTGGCTCTGTGAGGACTTGGAGGTGGCTGCCTAAGGGCAGGATTTAACCTGCACTGTCCTGAATTAACACTGAGCACTTAATACTGAGGGCAGAGAAGACCAGGGGCATTCAGACCCCGGGCAGGGCCAGATCCAGCAAGGGAGGGGCTGGGAATGATTAAATTCAGCTGGTATTGGAGGAGAGTGTGAGCTAGCAGGCAAACAGACAGGAGAGAACACCATGATCTCTCAGGTCAGGGGCCTCTTTTAGGGTACTTCATTCTGACTGAGAATCTTTCAGGATACTACCTCTTCTACAAAGCCTATCCTGAACCCTTATTAGAACTCTGATGACATTTATTTGTCCCTCTTTTAGAAGACTTACAGGACTTCTAATGATTCATTTAGCTTACATACATGCTTCATTTCCCTCCATAAACCCCCAAAATCTCAGGTGCCTCATTTCCCTCCATGAACCCCCAAAATCTCAGACAGGTCTCTCAGTTAATTCAGAAAGTTTATTTTGCGAAGGTTGAGGATGTGCACCTGTAACACTGCCTCAAGCGGTCCTGACGACATGTGCCCAAGGTGGTCAGAGCACAGCTTGGTTTTATACATTTTAGAGAGACATGAGAAGCAATCAACATATGTAAAATGAACATTGGTTTGGCCCAGAAAGGTAGGACAACTGGAGGCAAAAGCAGGACAGGGAGGGGGCTTCCAGGTCACGGGTAGATGAGAGACAAACAATTGCACTCTTTTGAGTTTCTGATTAGCCTTTCCAAAGGAGGCAATTAGATATGCATTTTTCTCAGTGAGCAGAGGGATGACTTTGAACAGAACGGGAGGCAGGTTGGCCCTAAGCAGTTCCCAGCTTGACTCTTCCCTTAGCTTAGTGATTTTGGGACCCCAAGATTTATCTTCCTTTCACGTTTCCCTCCTTTTCTTTTTAAAATCTTTTGGAGAAAGCATTTTAGGAGAAAATGAGTCCCTCGTCCCAGGTTTCATCTGGTGTCTCATGGCTAGGATGGTTTATTCCTAGATAGGTAGGTCCCAAGTTATTAGGAAAGCTCATATTTAGAAGGTTGTGAAGTCTCATGTCCTTTGAAGAGAAAACAGGGGGAAGAAGGTAGAAAAACAACAACAAACAAAAGAACAATCCTGGAAAATCGATATAGGCCACATTACTCTGAAGTTTATACATCAGTAGGTAGGTATGAAAGTGGCTAATGTATGTAAATAAGGTTGCTATTATTTTCTTCTGAAGGTTGTCTAGCTTCAGTTTGTGGGGCTTTATGAAAGCACAGCTCAGTTTTCAGTGACTCCAAATTAGGAAAAATGGGAAAAGAAGAAGAAAAAAATTGAAAACAAAGTAACAAAAATTACTTTGAAGACTTGGAGCCAAGAAAAATTAGAATTCAGTTCAAACTTTAAAAAATAATAAAAATCAAGAAACGTTAGGCAAGACTAGAATCTAACAACTGCTGTACTATAGTTTTGAATCATAATGTTTCTCTCTTCAGTTTCCCGTTTGTACTAAAGAAAAATCATGGTAGGACTGGTTTGCTTTACTATACTTGGCCTAATTATTTGTATACAATGCAGCCAGAGTAATTATTTTTTTACATAGGCTTTTAAATTGGCTTTGATGGAACTTTGTTCCATAGAAGGAATCTCAGATAAGACATTTTTTTAAAGCTGAGCCCAGCTATGGATTTGTGCCATCAGGTACCTATGAGTTGAGTGATCCTTTCCTCTTGAGGTTCCAAGATAAACTTGGGGCTCCTGGGCCTGTCAGAAAGTGACATTCTTTACTTATGACACATCAGGAACCCTTTACAATGGCTGTGTAGACAAAGGTATCACAGCAGTTTATCCAATGGGCTTTTATTGCCTCCATAAGTCAATTTTGAATCCTTAAAGGAAAGCACACCATTCCAGTCAAAACTTTAGTAAAATAACCAGTTTCTCCAATTGTGTCCTGTTACAAATGAAAACAGATTCTTATTGCACTTATGCAAATAACTGTATTGTCATAAGAATACTCACACATAGTTCCCAAATTTTGGAGAAATCAGGTTGACAGAAACAAATATGGTCTAAATTTTGTTCATAGAAGTATACTTCACTCAATTGTTAAAAGCTGTAAATAGCTTAAAAGACGTTTTCTTGTATCTGAAAAACAAAACAAAGGATCAGCAACATTTTAAGCAAAAAGTTTAAAAGATTACTTTAGTCTTTTATTAGATCAGCTCACGCAGTTAGCTTTTGTTCTGACATTCATGAACATTTCAGTTCTCCATGAGAGTCCTGAAAGTTTTTTTCTCTATTCTAATGTTCCAATCTCCAAAGTTATCAGAAACTTGCATCTAGGAACACCTGTTAGAGTTCTATAGTTGATTATAAAACCACTTTCTAAGGAGGACCAAAACAAGACAATTGTTTGTGGATGACAAAAGGTTTTAAGGCAGCCACAGTCAAAGACACAACTGACAAAGAAACTTATCTCTGTGGCAGCAACAATTTAACATAACAATTATAATTATTACTGATAATGTACATTAAGTCATATCAAAATTATAGGAGTTTCCCATGATTTTGGAACACATACCAATAACATATTTATATAAATACAGCCCAAAGAAAGCCAAACACCATTTCATATTTGACAAAGTTTCCTGTATGATTTTTATACCAAATAAGCCAAATTATGTCATTTTGGACTTCAGGAAACCTAATATCTTAAAGGATTAATTCAAGCAGAAAAAGACATAATTTATAATTTGATTTTGGAAAGGTTATCAAATATCAAAGGTTTAGAACACTTGATATCACAGGTTATTGTAAAATAAGTCATTCATTTGACCAAAGTGATAACTCAAGGATTTAAAAAAAAGGCAAAAACCTTCTCTTTGAGAAAAGAGAGCTAATTTTCCAAACAATAAGCCCTAGTAACAACAGCAGGAAGCTGGCTGGGTGCGGCGGCTCATGGCTGTAATCCCAGCACTTTGGGAGGCCAAGGCAGGTGGGTCACCCGAGGTTGGGAGTTTGAGACCAGCCTGACCAACATGGAGAAACCCTGTGTATACTAAAAATACAAAATTAGCCAGGCGTGGTGGCACATGCCTGTAATCTCAGCTACTAGGGAGGCTGAGGCAGGAGAATCGCTTGAACCTTGGAGGTGGAGGTTGCAGTGAGCGGAGATTGCACCATTGCACCCTAGCCTGGGCAACAAGAGCGAAACTCTATCTCAAAAACAAAACAAAACAAAAAACAAAACACAGCAGGAAGCCAATTAAATTTGTTCTCTAAAATTTTATAAACAATCTATAAAATTTTAATCTTGACCATAAGCTATAACTTCCATAAGCCTTTCATAACCTTTATAACCTTTACTTAGGAGTTGGTTAATATTTCATAAAAACCTTGTTAATTTGACATGGGCTCATATGCTGGTCTTGCATCAGTGTGCCTTTGACATTAATGATTAATTTATAGAGAAACTGAACTTATTTTATCTCTCAACATTGGCTCTTACAATCTCACATGCCCCTTTCCTGAGAAAGTTGAATGACTTGAATTTTTGGCCCTGTGTTTCAGGAATGCAGTTTATTTTGATTGGCATTTTCTACCGAGACTAAAGATGGGATTTTAATTGCTGTCAGTGTTTAAACTTTAGCAGGACTTGGTATCTTTTTTACACCCAGGAGTCAAAGCCCTGTAACTAAATGTCACAAGTACTTTAAAACCTCATACAGAGAGACATATGGGTGTAATAACCTTAACTTAAAAAAAAAATTTAATCTCAGTTTTTTCCCTAAGCAAACCAAAACTTAATAATAATATGACAACTTGATCATATAGGTTTTTTTAAAATAAATCCTCTTATTGTGACTTACACAGACTGTTCATGACATGCTTGGACTTTCTGGTTTGTCCTGAACATCCCTCTTTCTTAAGCAACCAGTCATTTTACTCTAGGACTAAATTTACCATACAAGATTCTTTCTTATATGAAATTATTTATCTTTAAGCTTTCTTACCAAAAAAAACCTCTTTATTTTTATAACTGTCTTTTTTTTTTTTTTTTTTTAGATGAAGTCTGGCTGTCACCCAGGCTAGAGTGCAGTGGCAAGATCTCAGCTCACTGCAACCTCCGCTTCCTGGGTTCAAGCAATTCTCCTGCCTCAGCTTTCCAAGTAGCTGTGATTACAGTAGCCTACCACCACGCCTGGCTAATTTTTGTATTTTTAGTAGAGATGGGATTTTACCATGTTGACCAGGCTGGTCTCAAACTCCTGACCTCAAGTGATCTGCCTGCCTCAGCCTCCCAAAGTGCTGGGATTACAAGTGTGAGCCACTGCTCCCAGCCATAACTTTCTTTACATCTCTTTTATTTTCCTGGTTCCTTTTATATTGTTTTAAACATGACCTTTAAATAAGCTTTGAATTAGACAAAAACTATTCATCTTTTTAAAAATGACACACTTTTTAAAAAGAATGTTTTCTTACAAATATATTTTTATTGGAAAATACCCATATAATGAAATATCTATTACTTAATTTAATATAACTTTAGATTCTAAATTATGAGTTTGTCTACAAGTATTACATTCACCTAATTATTTTAATTGTTTTAGATGATTTATGAAAACTGTGATAGTCATCATTTAAAGTTATGGAACCATCATTGCAAAATTATAACAGAGACGTGAAAAAGATTTGCCTAACTGACTCCATCTTGCTTTTAACCTCCAAACTCTCCTTGTTCATTCTTCTTTTCTCTCCTAGGAAATTGTTGTTTAAGGATCCTAATTCTAGTTCAGAGATGCATTCTAAAGGGTCTTCTTTTTCTTCTTGTCAGCTAATAGTCTTAAATTTGCATATTAAAGGAAACAACTCACATAAAAGTCAGACAGCAAAATTTACCTCGTAAGGTACAAAGTGAAAGTCTGGTGAGCTGGAGGGAAATTAAAATGAATTTAATTAACAATTGGACATAAAATTATAGACATCTATCATAAAGGCCTTCAAATACATACATGTGTACATGTACATACACACATACACACATACAGATTCTATAACTTTTACTCCAGTACTTTAGCCATGAGATAAATACAAATTTGCCAGCTTGCAAGAAAAACCCAAAAAACTATTAGACCCAAACAGTGGTTTTATCTCAGTGGAAAAATAACAGCAGACTTAAAGCATGGCAGAAAGGAAAATAGAGAAAAACGGACTAGGAACTCTAGAATTTGCAGGTTGACCTTAGGGCTCTTTTTCCTCAATGTAAATTTGCACAAAGACTGTATTACTTCCATTTTACTCTGGCAAATAGAGGTGCCATAAAACCAATAAGGTGCTCTAAAGGGGGTCATTCTCCTTGTTTTCTCCTCATTCTCAGATTGTTTCCTGCTTCTTTTTTTTTTTCTTAAAAGGAAGAATTGAGCTGTGGCCTAGGGTTTTTGTGCATGGATCGATGTGAGCTGCTTGTGGGCAGGACTCCACAGTGTGTCATCACTGAGTTGTTTCCAGCCTCTTATGCATCTCAGCTTCTCTCTCCAGAGGTCTATGTCCTCTGAGAGGGCTCAAAATGCCAGGTGATCAGCCCTTATATGCATTTCCTGGATGACCCATTTTTAAAATTAAATTTTTCTGGGGATTTCCCTGCAGGGCCACTGCATGTTGCAGGGGGTCAACTCCCCAGACGCTCCCACGAGGCCCCTGGTCACCCAGGGACGCCTTTCGCTGGAAAGAGCAAATGTCCTTTCTCTTTGGAGCTCAGAAAACTCAGTTTCTCATTTGCCTATGAAAACAACAGTTCAGTTCCTCAGACAAATGCACACAGACAAACACAATTGAGATTAATTATGGGAGAAAAAGCAATAGATAAGACCCTTTAGAATGCATCTCCGAACTAGAATTAGGATCCTTAAACAACAATTTCCTAGGAGAGAAGAGAAAAGAAAAGAAACCAGCCAAGACCACTTCCTGTAAACTGTGCTCAGCCACCCGTAACTTTGTAGTTCTCGTCTGCCATTACATGCTCCAAGGTCAAATCCTCTCACAGTGCAAGGTCATCTCTGGTTCCCCCAAAGCCAAAGAGGTCAGGTCATGCAATACAGGAAAACAGAGCTTTAGATGTAAGAAGAATCCGCCCACGACTCTTGAAACTTCACAGAGAAAACACAACACTCCAAAAGGGGTGAGTGGCCCCTTTGTTCTGAATTCTTTAAAGGGGTTCAAGTCATTAGAAGCCTTCTCTAGATTTTTTTGGTACTGCAGATGGCAAAGGGGGAAGGAGGTATAGGGTAGAAGAAAAGTAAATGAAATAAATATTTTTTTTTTAAGACAGGAAGCAAACACAGAAAGCAAGTGCATGTTTTTGTTGTTGTTGTTGTTGTTTTGTTTGTTTGTTTTAGCTGTGAGAAATTTTGGCCAGATTAGAAAGGCTTTGTTACCCGTAATTTGGAATTCTCACTCAGATTGGACCAAGTCTGGAAGAGTAGGTCAAATCTGATGGGAAAGCAACCAGAACAAACAACAACAACAACAAAACCCCAACAATATGATCACTGAGCACTCTAATGGTAAAGGAGAAATTCAGACCAGCTGGTTGTTAAACTTTAGCCAAGACAAAAACCCAACTCAGCTACTTACCTAGGGATGGGTCTCAGGCTGAAGACTGCTTTTTGTCATCCTAAAAGCAGGAAAAAACTCGAATTCATCTTCCCTGCTGGGAGTGAGCTCAAGCTCCCTGAAGGAGTTGTCTGCCTTCTATCGTCATGGAAAGAGGAAATCTTGCCTTCCTTGTTGGAAGCAAATAAAACTCCAAAAAAAAGGTGGGGGGGAGTTGTACAGAAAAATAAACTCTAGATCTTGACCAAATTTGGGGAGATCAAGGATTCTCTGGAGGGTGTGCTCCCAGACCTCAGCAAATTGTCCTATTGGTTTGAGCCGTAAGGTTAGCTCATGCTGCTACCAAGGACCAGTAGATCTGTCAAAGGTCAGGGGCATCTCCACTCAGAATCCCTCCATGGTTACCAAAATGTGAACCCCCCCAAATCTGAGACAAGTCTCAGTTAATTTAGAAAGTTTACTTTTCCAAGATTGAAGATGCACACCTGTGACACAGCCTCAGGAGGTCCTGATGACATGTGCCAAGGTGGTCATACGTTTTAGGGAGACATGAGACATCAATCAACATATGTAAGATGAACATTGATTTGGCCCAGAAAGGTGGACAACTTGAAGCAAAAGTGGGACAGGGAGGTGGGTTCCAGGTCACAAGTAGGTGAGAGACAAATGGTTACATTCTTTTGAGTTTCTGATTAGCCTTTCCAAAGAAGGCAATCAGATACACATTTATCTCAGTGAGCAGGGGGATGACTGAATAGAATGGGAGGCTGGGTTGCCCTAAGCTGTTCCCAGCTTGACTTTCCCTTTAGCTTAGTGATGTGGGGGCCCCAAGATATTTTCCTTTCACACCTGTTTGAAATGCTTGTTCCTTGGTGCAGTAAAGAAATAGCACTTGAACATTGATTTCCTCAGCAAGGCCATTTTTATACTTTCTACAGAAAGGGTACACTCACCAGCAGTTTTGCCGTGAGCATACACAGAACAAAGCAGACGGGGTCATTTATAACCTGACACATCCGCCCTACTGCTGTGTCTGGTTTCCATTGGCTGGAACAGGACCTCACATTCTGTATTTGTCCTGATTGGCTAGTAACTTAGAACTTTTTAAAAGAGGCAAAGGCAGAGGAGAACAAAGGAAGGAGAAAGTAACTTGTGGAATGCTGAGAAAGGTAAAAACACCTTCAAATAAGGAAGAGGAACAGGCTATGACCTAATGCTTGCTTGGACCAGTATAAGCACACCACGGCAAATATTTAGGCTAAATTGTGGGAGCTAAGAACATATGATTTCTTTATTAAGGCTAGCAGATTTTAAGAATGTTAGCACAGGTCTTTGAATAAATTTTGCTTCTAAGAGAAGTTACTATTTATTCCTAATTAGAGGGGAGGAAAGTCTTTGAAGACTCACCTCTACTTTACTTTTCACACCTCCTTGAAGGCAGGGACTAAGGACTGTTTCCCTCCCAAAACTAACGTGCTAATTTGCAAACAGTACCTCCCTGGGTTGAGGAGAGTGTGCTGAGTGCTGAATACCCTGGCCTGAGGCCTTGTACCTGAACAGAGAGGAGGTGGTTTTACAGTAGGGGGAGGGAGAGAGAATCTTGGTGCATGCAGTGTTGGGAGTGACCTGATTTCCACAGACTGTCTGTGTTCAACCTCACAGCCGAATGTTTCTCCAGTTCCAAAGTCAACAACCAGAACGGTAGAAGGTGGGGAAAGGTTGAAGGTGGGGCTGAGAATGGCTTTGTCTGACCCCTTAACCCAGTCCCAACTCCTCAGTTGGCCCTTTCTCCTGGGAGTCTCTTGCTACTATCTGTGTCAGAGTTCACTCGTGATGCCCTAAGGGGCAGGGCCTTTGGGAAATAAAGGAGAAAAAGCACAAACCAAACAAATAAATTCTTCCTTAGCAGGGTTGGGAAAGATAAGCTGAGATGTCTCTTTTGGGTTAACCATTGGCTTAATCTGGGTTCCCCCAAATAGCAGAGCCTGAGCAAGGACTTGTGTATAGGTAGTTTATTTGGGGAATGAATCTGTTTTGTATGGTTAAAATAAGGAGAAGATCAAAGTATGAGTTCATGAATCACACAGTTTATTGCCATACAAAGAGGTCTTTCTTTTTCACAATTCTTAAAAAGGGGGAGAATAATGAGAACAAATCTCACAGGGGATACACTCAACAGACAAGGTACATTAATCACATAATGAATGAGTTCCAATTTCATTTAGAGTCCAATTATTAAAGTTCAGTTGAAGCTGAGCATGGTGGCTCATGCCTGTAATCCCAGCACTTTGGGAGGCTGAGGTGGGCAGATCATCTGAGGTCAGGAGTTCAAGACCACCCTGGCCAACATGGTGAAACCCCATCTCTACTAAAAATACAAAAATTAGCTGGGCGTGGTGGCGGGCACCTGTCCCAGCTACTTGGGAGGCTAAGGCAGGAGAATCGCTTGAACCCTGGAGGCGGAGGTTGCAGTGAGCCGAGATCGCACCATTGCACTCCAGCCTGGGTAACAAGAGTGAGATTCCATCTCAAAAAAAAAAAAAAAAAAGTTCAATTGCCCACTTAGGATGGAAAGCAGGCTTTTGTGGATGCAAAGTCCAATCAGAGTTTGAGGCACTACTTTCTAGGAGAGGTTCTCGGGAGGGACAGCTTGACTAATACAATGGAGATCCATGAAGATACGTGAGGTCTCTTGCTGCTAGAGAGCGGTGCCAGTGTTGTGAGACAAGGCTTCAAAAACAGCTTCAAGGCTTCCAGAGAGTGGCCTCGCCACATCCTAAGCTCTCCAAGCGTCTGTCAAAATCCTGGGTTTCTATGTGTTTGGAGTCCAGTGGTTGAGGTCAGTAGCTCCCATGCGGGGTCTGATAAGGTGTGACATGACATTCCCTTGGCTAGGGAGAGTTCCCTGCATGTTCTAATCACAGTAAAACAATATCACTCTCACAGAAAAGTGAAAGTGTTCGGAATCATTTAAAGCTACATAACAAAATCCCAAGGAATTGGAGGGGAGGGCTGGGAAGAGTCAAATAGGGAAGGAGGGAAAGAGAATGGCATCCAAGGGTGTATTCGTGAGTTGATCAAGTCGGTCACTACTATGGGCAAACAGAATGCTATCATTTTAGGAGCTGCATAGAACATATCTCAGAATTGCCCACTGGAAGACTGGAAGAGCAGAGTATTTTTCCTGCAGTTCCTGCCTGCCCTTTGGTCAAAGTTTGTCCTTTGAGGTGTTCCTTTGCACTTCCAGGTTTACTCATGTGTCAGAGTGGACAGCGGATTCCTGCAAGGGTCCCAGGTTGCAGTGCCAGAGACGCAGAATACCAGGTGCAGCTGAGGCAAGGTGCTCTCAGGTTACACCTGTTCATACCTGGTTGTCACAGCAAAGCTGGGCTGGGAAGATGTAAGGCCAGATGTGTAATACAACCTCAGAAAGGTCAAATGTCCTTTTCTGTCTTATGCAAATAGGACTACAATTCAGTTTAATTCTCAGAGTCAGGATCTATGTTTTTTCCCTTGGGGTAAAGAAGAATTCTTCCTTTAACTACTTTTCTAGCAAAGCATAATCCTCAAGGCGTAATTTTAGTATAGTGATTTATTTTTAACCCTGTGGTACTATATGCCTAATGTTCTGAAACACCGTCACTGGAGCAAATCCAGGCTTGAGTCTATCTGTGAAACGGGAACAGAAAACTAAGTGCATCCTCCCTTCCTGATTCTCCCAGTCTTCAAGGCTGTATGTGCCAGGAGCTGGGGATAAAGGAGATAGCCTTAGCTCTCCAGAAGCTCACAGAATGGACAGACAGAGCCAACAGTTTTATTTGTTTGTTTGTTTTTTGAGACAGTCTCCCACTGTTGCCCAGGCTGGAATGCAGTGGCACCATCTCAGCTCACTGCAACCTCTGCCTCCCAGGCTTAAGCAATTCTTCTGCCTCAGCCTCCCACCTAGCTGGGATTACAAGCATCCACTACGAAGGGCAGGGTTTCACCACATTGGCCAGGCTGGTCTCAAACTCCTGGCCTAAAGTGATCCACCCGCCTCAGCCTCCTACAGTGCTGGGATTATAGGCGTGAGCCACCGCACCCGGTCTACAGTTTTCTTTAAATCTTCATCATGCCAGTACTTCCCTCCTCCTGTTTTCATCTTCCTGTATTTGCAAGTTTCATTCATTCTCTTCATTCTATTCATTCCTTCTCTGTACTTTACCTAAACATAGTTGTGAACCCCCAAAATCTGAGCCAGATCAATTTAGGAAGTTTATTTTCCCAAAGTTAAGAATGCACGCAAGTGAAATGGCCTCAGGAAGTCCTGACATGTGCCTAAGGTGGTTGGGACACAGCTCGGTTTTATACATTTTAGGGAGACATGAGACATCAATCAACATATGTAAGATGAACATTGGCTCAGTCTGGAAAGGTGGGACAACTCGAAGCAAGGAGGGAGCCCCCAGGTTATAGGTAGATGAGAGACAAATGGTCGCATTCTTTCGAGTTTCTGATGAGCCTCTCCAAAGGGGGAATCAGATATGCATTTATCTCAGTGAGCAGGGGGTGATTTTGAGTAGAATGGGGGCAGGTTGGCCCTAAGCCGTTCCCAGCTTGACTTTCCCCTTTAGCCTAGTGATTTGGGGGCCCCAAGGTTTATTTTCCTTTCGCGTAGCTTCGCCACTAATGTGTCCTGGTGTCTTCTCTCCTCAGCCTGTTTCTCATCCTGGAAACTGAGGTGTGCTGGCGCAGGGCGATAGCGCAGTGGGGTGGGGTTGGGAGGAAACCCTTATCTGTGGCCGATGGCCCTCCGTTGTTCTATTATTAAAACTCTGGGAAACTGCTATTCTTAATTTATTTTTAAAGACCCTGAGAAGCAAATCTTTAATTTTTTTGTTTTTGTGAGACGGAGCACTCTGTCGCCCAGGCTAGAGTGCAATGGTGCAATCTCGGCTCACTGGAACCTCCGCCTCCTGGGTTCAAGCGATTCTCCTGCCTCAGCCTCCCGAGTAGCTGGGATTACAGGCGTGCGCCACCGCGCCCTGCTAACTTTTGTATTTTTAGTAGAGACTGGTTTTCACCATGTTGGCCAGGCTGGTCTCGAACTCCTGACCCCAAGTGATCCACCTGCCTCAGCCTCCCAAAGTGCTGGAATTACAGGCGTGAGCCACCGCCCCCGGCCTTTAAATAAATTCATCTGATCAAAAGAAATTTAAAAACCAACCAACCCTAATGAGCTCTAAAGACAGCAACACGCACAGGACCTGGAAAGAGCCTCTTCCTCACCGGAGTTTTCCTCACTTCAAGGAGCGGCGCCTTCACCCTCCGGCCTCAGCCCGCGAGGCTGCAACCCTTTCCGCACCTGGCTCCATCTCCCTGGCCCTCGCCCCCGCCCAGCGGTCGGGGAGCGAGAAGGCGGCGGGGGATCTGGCGCCCGGCTTAGGGGCGAGACGGCCGCACCGGGAGCCTAGCGATCAGGGCACCTTGGGCGGGAGGAGCGCCAGCCGGGCACCCAGCGCGGAGGAGGCGGCTCGGCGGCCCCCCGACAGCCACGCCGCCGTGAGCCCCGCCCAGCGTAGCCCCAGCGCGCGCTTCGCGTGTAGAAGCGTCCGGGTGGCGGAGGCCGCAGGCCGCAGGAGTGCTGGTGGAGGGGCTTCCAGAAAGACCCTGCGGCAGCGCCCCCCCTCGGCTCTCCCCGCAGGAGAGCGGGCACCTGCGCGGCGCCGGGTGAAGGCGAGAGCCTCGGCGAGCCCTCTGCAGCGGAGCCCCCTGCCCATTTGGTTTTGGGTAAGAGGAGGGGTCCGCGTCTCTGCAGCTCGGGCGGGATTCCCTGGCGCCCTCTACTCGGTTTGGTTCGGCCTCACGTGTTCCTTTAGCTCCGAAGCCGGGATACGGGTGGGGAAGGGGGGCTCGCGCCCTACAGGCCGAGCCCTGCGGCCGCAGCGGGGTAAGGGTAGGATGGCCGATCGCGCCCAGACCCCAGGGAGTCTCCCTCTCGGCTTTTCTGCCGGCGTCTCCAGCAGCATGATCTGGCATTTATTATTCGGAATAATGTGCCAGGCAGGAGGAGGCCCTGGGTTAAACACGCGGCCCTGCAGCTCCCAGGTGAAACGACTCATCGTTTCCTGCCGGCGCATCTTACTGAAGGGGACCCAGGCCCCACGAAGGGAAGGAACCGTCCTCAAGGTCACGTCGTAGTCAAAGGCCGAGCCCAGACCGAAGCCAGGTGTCCTGCCTTCTAGCCCCGGGCTCTAGGCCCTGTCCCCTTCCCGACCGAATCTCCCAGTCCCGTCCGCGTCCCTCCTCCTCCTCCTCCTCCGGGGTCCTCCGCAAGGCTCTGTTCCCGGGGTTTGGGGAGTCCTCCCTCCGCGCCACAGCGCCCTGGGGAAGAATGCTGGACAGCAGGCAGGCCACAGGGCCGGGGAAGGAGGAGGAGCCGCGGGGACAGGCTGGGGATGCCAGAGTGGTGGTGGGCCCGGGACTGGCCAGGGTGGGAGTCCAGGCGGCGCACCCGCGCGAGGACAAGGGGGCTTTGGCTGGGCGGTGCTGTCTCAACCAATGGGAAGCGTGGCTCTGGCCGAGCCCCCCTCTCTCCCCGCCCTCCGGCCGGCCGTTGGGGAGCGCTGCTCTGGGATTGGCTGCGCCGCCGTCTCGGGCGTTCTCGCGCTCTGCTTACGTGCTGACGCGCGCCTGATAGATACCCTGTGGGTTTGAGCGCTCCGGTCGGTCCCTAGCGGCCCAGGCGCCTTGGGCGTGCGTCCTGCGCGCGGCCGCCTCCAGGCTGCGCCCTTCTGGGGAAGTGTTTGGTGCTGCGCGCGGCGTCGAACTCCGCGTTTTTTTTTTTTCTTTTCCAGCCAGTCAGCCTGGAAATCTGCCTGTAGTCAGCTGATGCAGAGTCACCCTGCAGTTCCTACTTTGAGGGGTTGCAGAAGCACATATTTCACTATGGAGGGCCGCCTGCAGGCCTCGCGCTGACAGGATCTTTTGTGACGCTGCAAATGTCCTGGTCAGTGTCCTTCTTTCTACAAGAGGCGTTGGAGCCGGGCTCTGCATAGGGCGTATATATCCCTGGCCGCCAAGGAAGCTGACCCTTGAAATTTGTGAAGCTTTCATATTCACTCAATACACATTTACAGAGCCTCTACTTCCTGTCAGGCGTCACACAATAAATATTCGGAGGAGCAAGAAGAGAGTGATTCAACATTTGGGTCTTGTCTGTAGGGTGCTCACAGTCCGGGTGGGGATTGGTGGTAGGATGGGGGCTTGTGAATGTTTATAAACAGAAATCCCTCGAATACGACCCTGGCTAGGTAGGTGCAGTTACAGAGGCACAGAAGGGAGGAGATTGGGCGAAAGATTTTTGAATTAGGGGATTAGAAAAGGCTGCTCGGGAGAGTTATCTGAACCAGCTAGGACTTGGTCAGATGCAGTCAGTTTGGTATAGGATGAGCAAGGCTCGAAAATTGGAAAGTACAGGGCTTGTTGAGGGATGGTGTAGCAAACGGTTGAATGAGTAGAGGAGAAAAGTATAGTTGGAGATACGGTTTGGAGGAGCCAGGTGAGGACTCGGGGGCTCAGCTTGTGTCCTCGGGTTTGAAATGCAGTAAGCACTTGTGAATAGAAAGGCTGCTTAATCATTTGCACTACTGTCATTTGTTACACCTAGACCAAACATCTTGGAAATGGCTTTGATTCTTCCTTCTTTCATATCCTACACTCAATCTGTTGGTAAATGGTAGCGGACTCTACCTTCAATATAAAGCCAGACTTACCAATTCTAATCAGTTCCATGGTTTTCACCAAGGCTGGTGTACATTTCTAAGGAACACGTTTTCACATCTCACTGCAGTGGTGCAATATACAACCCTCATGACTGCACATGGTGGCCCTGGATTACTGCCACAGATCCTAATGGGTCTCCCTGCTTCTGCTCTAGTCCATCCTCAACTTATTAACCCAGTGAGAGTTACCTTTTTAAAAATGTAAGTCTGATAATGGCACTCCTCTTCTTAAAACTCTTCTTTTTTTTTTTTTTTTTTTGAGACAGAGTCTTGCTCTGTTGCCAGGCTGGAGTGCAGTGGCGTGATCTCGGCTCACTGCAATCTCCACCTCCTGGGTTCAAGTAATTCTCCTGCCTCAGCCTCCCAAGTAGCTGGGACTACAGGCGCGAGCGACCACACCCAGCTAATTTTTGTATTTTTAGTAGAGACGGGGTTTCACCATGTTGGCCAGGATGGTCTCGATCTCTTGACCTCGTGATCTGCCCACCTCGGCCTCCCAAAGTGCTGGGATTACAGGCGTGAGCCACCACACCCAGCCAAAACTCTCTTAATTCATTTAATTATGTACCAGCCAGGCGTGGTGGCACACACCTGTAATCTCAGCACTTTGGGAGGCCGAGGTGGGCAGATCATTTGAGGTTAGGAGTTTGAGACCAGCCGGGCCAACATGGTGAAACTCCGTCTCTACTAAAAATACAAAAATTAGCCAGGCATGGCGGTGCATGCTTGTAACCCCAGTTACTTGGGAGGCTGAGGCAGGAGGATTGCTTGAACCTGAGAGGTGGAGGTTGCAGTGAGCCAAGATTGCACCCCTGCACTCCAGCCTGGGTAACAGAACGAGATTCCATCTCAATGAATCAATCAATCAATATTGTGTGTCTGTTGTGTGCAGGGCACTGCTGTACATGTTGGAGATACAACAGTGAACAAAACAGACAAAAATTCCTGTTCTCAAAGAGCTTATATTCTAATGAGACTGAACAACAACAAACAAGATAAATATGTACAACATGTAGAATGCTATAATGTAATAAAGTGCCAAGGAGGAGGAAAAAATGGAAGCAGAGAAGGGGGATAGTCAGGGTTGGGGTGGGATAGATGGGGTGGCCAGAGAATGTCTTAGTAAACATTTTAGTAAAGGACTGTGGATATTGAGGGAAGAGTGTTCTAGGTAGAGGGAACAGTAAGGACAAAGGCCCTGAAGCAGGAGCTGGCTTGCTATGTTCCAAAGACAGCAAGAAAGCCACTGTGACCAAAGTGCAGTGAACCAGGTAGGAATGAGGTCAGAGGGACAATGGAGACCCAGAACATGGAGGGCCTTGTAGGCAAACTCTAGATTTTGGCTTTTACTCTGGCAGGAGTTTGGTGAGGCGTGACATGATCTGATTTATGTTCCGCAAGATCCTGCAGGCTGTGTTGACCAGAATCTGGAGGAACTACAGTGGAAGCGGAGAGTCTAGTTGGGAGGCTACTGCAATAATCCAGGCAAGAAGGGATGAAGGCTTGGACTAGGCTGGTAGCGGAGGATCCTAGATATATGTGAAGGTGGCATTGATAGGACTTGCCGAGCACTGGGCCGTGGAGTGTGCAGGAAAGGGGAGTCAAGAATGAGGAAGATTTAGAGGAACAGGTCTGCAGGACAATAGCACAGGCTCAGTTTTGCACAGGTTGCATTTGAGATACGTAGTAAACATTCAAGTGGAGATGTTAGATGCGCAGTTGTCTGAGTTCAGGGGAGAAGGTTGGGTTGGAGATCAACCTTCGGGAGTTGGCGGCATGTGAATCGTATTTAAAGCTATGAGTGCTCGTCATGGTGCGGAGAACAGACCAAGAACAGAGTCCTGAGACTCCGTTGTTTAGTGGCCTGCCTTTAATTTGGTAGGCAAGCCCTGTTCTCCTAGTGAAAAAATGCCCACTTGATCTGGCAGTTGTAATTATGGCAGTTTTGACAGCTCGGGTAACACTTTGTCTTGGGGAAGGACAGAAGAGGAGTGGAATGGGGGAAGCACAGGTTCCAGTGTCGTTATAAGGTCATTATAAATGAGGCATTCTCAGAATAGGGGTCAAAACTGAGAATTAATACACCTCATATGCTGTTGGTGGGAATGTAAATTAGTACAACCACTACAGAGAATAGTTTGTAGGTTCCTCCAAAAACAAAAAATAGAGCTACCATAGGATCCAGCAGTGCCACTGCTGGGTATATACCCAAAAGGAAGGAAATCAGTATATTGAAGAGATATCTGCACTCCCATGTTGGTTCCAGCACTTTTTACAATAGCTAAGATTTGGAAGCAACCTAACTGTCCATCAGCAGATAAATGGATAAAGAAAATGTGGTACATATACACAATGGAGTAGTATTCAGCCAGAAAAAAAGAATGAGATCTGTCATTTGCAACAACGTGGATGGAACTGGAGGTCATTATGTTAAGTGAAATAAGCCAGGCACAGAAAGACAAGCTTTGCATGTTCTCACTTATTTGTAGGAGCTAAAAATTAAAACAATTGAACTCATGGAGATGTAGTAGAATGATGGTTACCAGAGGCTGGGACAGGTAGTGAGGGTCTGTGCAGTGGGGAGAAGATGGGATGGTCAATGGGTACCAAAAAGTTAAAGAGAATGAATAAGAACTAGTATTTGCTAGCATAACACAGCGACTATAGTCAATGATCATTTAATTGCACATATAAAAATAACTAAAAGAGTATAATTGGATTGTTTGTAACACAAAGGAGAAATGCTTGAGGGGGTGGATACTCCATTTTCCCTCAGGTGATTATTACACATTGTATGCCTATATCAAAATAGTACCCCGTAAATATATAGAACTACGACCTACCCATAAAAATAAAAAGTTAAAAATAATAGTGTTCTGCCTTCAGTTTTAGCTACTATTGATTTGGTGGCAAGTGGCAGAAACGTCCAGCCTGCTTAAATTACACAGAGACTGTAAAGGCACAGCATGGCTTCTGGAGCTGGGGGGCAGATGGGAGGCGGCTGCTGCTGCTGTTGCTTTTCTCCCTCCCTCCCTCCACCTCCACCCCTGCTGCTTTCTGCATGAGCATCTTATCCCCCCACCCCCTGCAGATCGGCTTTCTCCCTCTCTCTGTGGCTTCAGGGCCCAGTGGAGTGTAGCTGCCGTCCTCCAGCAGCGCCATTGCATGGCCCTGCGCCACAGAGCATGGTTCGCATTCTCTCACGGTGCCAGGGGACAGAACAATGGGCTCACCTTGGGTCTGGTGTCTCTTCCTGGCTCAGTCCTCCGTGACCAAAGCATAGTCTCTGCAGCTGCAGAGGCCAAATCCTATGAGGGAGGGGCAGGTCTGAGAGGAGGGGACATCAGGTGAGCAGGACAGACCCCCGAAAGGTAGTCACTGCAGAGTGTATGTGGTGTGTTATCGGAGGAGAACTGGTCGCCACCGAAGCCTAATCTGGTGACTGGAATGTCTCTCAGGACGATCAAGGTGTCTGCATTGGGTGTGCCTAATGTTAGACCCTTGGCTTTTATTGAAGGTCCCTGTGAAACGAGCCATGTGAGTGTCATCTCTGCATGTATGATACAGTGGTGGTGAGAACACTGTCTACTATATCACTTGATGTTCCTGTGTAATTATTTCTGACTTTTGTTTGAGAATGGTTACTTCTCTAAGGAATGTTAGGTGTCTTTTTGAATGAGGGCTTGAGAACTTGTCAGGTTTCCCGTTTGCATGACCTCAAGGAAGCTCCCACGTATAGCTGAGCTGGGTTGGAACTTTCAAGCAAGACTCTACGAAATGTTCGGAAGAGGAATGGCCAAATATATATATAATAGTTATTTGATTATAGTGCATATATAGATATATATGGTCAGGAATCTCAAAACTCAAATGCCCATAGTGTCCAGGCAATTAACAAAGATGATATGGATAGTTTTAACATAGTAAGTACAAACTGTTTGTATTGAGTTCAAGCATAGCTTAGCTGCCTAGTTACACTGCTTTTTAAAACAGCAGGCTGGCCAAACAAATCAGCCAAGTAGAACATGTTTAGGTAGGCTGCCAGTTGTAGGATTTGGGAAGCTGACACAGAAACTTGCTGGTCTGAAGCTCTTCAGTGTGAGGTCTCTGCATTGGCTGTTTCCCTGCATAACCCCAGCTTGCCCTCCTCGGGGGCAGGACCTTTGCCTCCCACTTGGGAGTGGCAAGGGCCCATGTAGGCTTCATGTCCAGAAACACCTGAGTTCTCTTTCCTGCCTTGTGTGACCCGGTTTGCTGCGGATACCTTGCCTCTGCTGAGAATGTTAGTACTGGGAATGCCTGCCCCTTTGAGGGGAGCCCCTGCTGCTGCCTCACAGGAAAGCCCCCAGCTGTGACCTCTGCAAGATGGTCATGTTGGAATGGAACACAGTGAGCCCAGCAGTGAGGAAGGATGCGCACGCTGTTTTCTTTTTTTCTGGAGTAGGAGTGCTTTCCATGTGTTATACCTTGACAGTGGAGCGGGCCCTTGAGAGAAGCCCCAAGTGTTTCTAGCATTAAAAAATGTCTCCAAGATTCCAGGTTGATATGTGAGCATCGTGATTTTGTGACAGTATCTTATGAGTTTGGTCCCTGGGAGTCAAGCCCCCTGTGCTCAGTCACCTCAGGGCAACTAATTACTTGACTTTCAAGGCTGAGGAGACTGAGCACCCGCCTCCCACAGCCATTTCTGTTCCCAAACTAAAAGGCAAGAAAGTGGTGTGTGAAGTTTGAGAACTTAATATTTACAGAGAATAAGGCCTGGCACAAAACATGAAGATGGCAGACAGCTACCCTGAAGAGTCTTTGGGAGCCCTGCAGTGGAAATAGCTGCATGTTTAAGAAACACGCATGCAACAGACTACATTGAGAACAGTGCATTGTTCAAGGGACTGAGTTTTTTGTGTTTTTTTTGTTTTTTTTTGTTATTTTTGTTTTTGAGACGGAGCCTTGCTCTGTCACCCAGGCTGGAGTGCAGTGGCGTGATCTCAGCTCACTGCAACCTCCGCCTCCTGGGTTCAAGCGATTCTCCTGCCCCAGCCTCCCGAGTAGCTGGGACTGTGGGCGCCCGCCACCACGCCTGGCTATTTTTTGTATTTTTAGTAGAGACAGGGTTTCACCATGTCAGCCAGGCTGGTCTCGAACTCATGACCTCAGGTGATCCACCTGCCTCAGCCTCCCAAAGTGCTGGGATTACAGGCGTGAGCCACCACGCCTGGCCAAGGGACTGAGTTTTTATGCACTTTTAATTATTTTGGCTTTAGTACTTTTAGATATGGCTGACTTCAAGGAAAACAAAATGGAAAGCAGCTGTCTATTTGGAGATCATATTAAAGCATTTTCTGCCACAGGCATTGAGCTAAGGGGTGGAAAGGACTTTAATTATAGATGACTGGATGGGAAGTTTCCCAGTGATGGTGACCTCAGACTCTGGTCCTGGGTCTTGGAGGGAGGAGGTAGAGATGTGTGTGCTTAGCCAGCTGGTCAGTACTTAGATGGTGGGAGGGGGTGCCTCATGAAAAAGTCTGAGCCAACGTGGGCCTGTGCCTTCCATAAAACCATAAAAAGCCAGTCTGGGCTCCATTCTGCTGCTCTCTGCAAGGAGCTTTCCATGGAAACTTCTTTTGTGGCCACAGGCCGACTTTCCACCCCCAGACTGCCCTGCGGGAGCCCGCTCAGCTCCCATCCACTCCCCAGGGACTCAGAGTGCCTCCTTTGCGTCAGGCTCGTTCTAGGCACTGAGGATTTGGTGGTGAACCAGGTGGAGAGGATTCCTGGTGTCACTGAGCTTAGGATCTAGTAGAAGATAAAGTAAATAAACATAATTTTGAATTAAGGTAGCTGCTATGAGAGTGATCTTACAGAGAGCAACCTGTGTGTTGAATGGGAGCCACTTTAGTGAGGGAGACAGAGGACTCAGCATCCAGGATGAGGGCAGAGCAGGAGCCGGTACTCTGAGGCAGGAACGCCCTCACGTGGGCAAGGAGTTCTTGGAGTCAGTGGTGGCTGCGACGCAGTGAGCAAAGAGGAGGGTGGCCCAGTGAGCTAGGGGCCTCCAGGGAGGGAGAGGCCAGCCCCCACGGGCATGGAAAGTTGGCTTTAAACACGGAAGTCGCATAGCTTGACCGGTGTTAAAAAGGTTTCTTGGGCTGCTGTGCTGAGAATGGGGGTGTGGCAAATAGGGGCAGGAGTACAAGCGAGAGTTTACTGTAGTTCTGGAAAGGTAACACCAGAGAGGTTTCTGCCTGCTTTCCTTTCCTGAGGATTAAACAGATTAAACGCCTCCACCTGCTTCCAGCAGAGTGCATGGCAGTGGTTGCTCAGTTAACACTGCTGACCTCTGGGCCCAGGTGGCTGGTTATCAGTAAGGTTTGGGGTGGCAGCAAACAGGCAGGGGAGGAGCCTCCCAGGCAGTACCTTATTACCAGGAACAGTATGACAGACTACAGCCAGGTAGGCAAAGGAGAGGCTGGAACCCATTTACCAGCCCGCCTTCCTTCCCTTAGGCCTGGAGGAATCACTATTAACAGAACAGGAGGGCAACGCATGCCCGTGCTGATCAGCGGTCAATAATGCTGAAGAGTCGTGGTGCCTAGCAGCCTTAAGGTGTTACCAAGAGATTCTTGTTGCAATAAGGTTGCTTTAACCTCAAATGGTGAGGGAGCGGGGAGGGTGTGTGTGTGTGTGTTAATTACAAGAGTCTCTTATTTGGCAGCTCCAAACTCTATGCTATAATGAATTACTGATTAATTCAGCCTCAGAGCCAGAGCCCCCTTGTTTGTTCGCATGGGGGAAAGAGGTGGACGGCTGAGTCAGATGCTATGTGGCATGAGGACAAGCTGCCTGCAGGGGCAGGTGGGCACCTCAGGAATGAAGGCTGATGCCCTGGGGCACCACAGGTGGGTGTTTCAGCAGGTTAGAGGAATAGGACTTACCGAGTCAGAATCCCTGAGGGGTTAGGTCCCCGAGTCTCCCAGTGGTTGGCGGGTTTGAGGATCACTGATCTGGGCCAACCTGCTCACATTATGAATGGGTGATGACTTGCCCAGGGTTGCCCAGTGTGTTTGGTGGCACAGCTAGAGCCAGAACCCAGGCTTCCAGGCACCCTGGCTCCTGACTCTTTCCATTGTGAAGCTGCAGCTTGAGAGAGGAACCAGAGTGGACTACCTGGTGGTACCAGGACTGGAGCTGGGTGGAACAGATGCAGCCCAGTTTGACTTTCACAACCTGAAAGGAACATGACTGCTCCTGATTAAAGCCCGGAAGGCAACAAAGTAATGCTGAGGGTGCATTTATGTTTCAGAACCACCGGGAGGAACTGGGCCATTCTAACACCCGTTGCTACCATGCTGGCCACCCGCCTCTCCAGACCCCTGTCACGGCTCCCAGGAAAAACCCTAAGTGCCTGTGATAGAGAAAATGGAGCAAGGTAAGCAACCAGAGGTGGTGGTGGCCTTGAGGGGACACTTTCTGAGCAGGCAGAGGTTTTCACACATGGACAGTGTAGGCGGTGATGAGGCCTGATTCTCAGAGATGTCTCTCAATACCTTTGTCTCCCAGCAGAGGAAACTCAGAGGTGTCCTGGGAAGACATTTTCCCAGGGCACACAGGGCAGAAAGGAATATCTTTCATAACCACTTATTTTTTTTTCTTTTTGATGGAGTCTCACTCTGTTGCCAGGCTGGAGTGCAGTGGCGTGATCTCGGCTCACTGCCACCTCCGCCTCCTGGGTTCAAGTGATTCTCCCACGTCAGCCTCCTGAGTAGCTGGGATTACAGGCACCTGCCACCATGCCCAGCTAATTTTTATATTTTTAGTAGAGACGGGGTTTCACCAGGTTGGCCAGGCTGGTCTTGAACTCCTGACCTCAGGTGATCCACCCGCCTTGGCCTCCCAAAGTGCTAGGTTTACAGGCATGAGCCACTGTGCCTGGCCATAACCACTTCTTAAAACCCTTTTTATTTTGAAATAACTTTGGACTTATACAAAAGTTGCAAAAATCGTTGGAAAGGGTTTCTGGATCCCCTTCAGCTAACTTCCCTAAATGTTAACATCTTACAAAACCATACTGCAATGATCAAAATCAGGAAATTACCATTGATAGAATACTATTAACTAGTCTACAGACCTTATTCCAGTGTTGCCAAGTGGCTGCTGATGGACCTTTTTCTGGTCCAGGATCGAATCCCAAATCCCACATGGCTCGGAGGTGTCATGTGTTTTTAGTTTCTTCCTGCCGGGGACAGGTCTTCAGTCTTTTTCGCTCACGACCTTGACACTCTCGCTGGTTATGTTGTACAATGTCTCTCAGTTTGGGTTTGTGTGGCAAGACGCCTGCGGCAGTGAAGCGGTGCTTTTCTCAGCCCGTCGTGCCAGGAGGTACATTATTTTGATAACTGCTCTTTTAAAACTTTATGCATGAAATCAGTTAGCCGAGATGTCCCAAACCTTCACCGCATCGTTTGTGTGATTTCGAGGAAGCATTATATAAGTACAAATTAGACAAGCAGCTGTTCTTCTTTGAGAGCTTCTGGAATTGCCTTTTCCCAGGGGATTCAGTGGGCTCTGCTGCCACATTTTACTCTTTTGCAGTCTGAGCAAGGAAAAAACAAGAAATACCTTTTTCTTTCTGTTATATTTGAGGGGAGTGAATTTGAGGGGAGTGAAATTGAAGATTATGTTAAATTCAAAGTCCCAGGATCTAGAACACTGATATTTCTATGCCAATAATATGTTTAATGGAACATGCATTTAGACTGAGACTCTGTTGCCCAGGCAATGTGGCAACCTCTTGGCTCAGAGCAACCTCTGCCTCCCGGGTTCAAGCAATTCTCCCGCCTCAGCCTCCCAAGTAGCTGGGACTACAGGCATGTGCCACCACACCCGGCTAATTTTTTGTATTTTTAGTAGAGATGGGGTTTTGCCATGTTGGCCAGGCTGGTCTTGAACTCCTGACTTCAACTGATCCGCCTGCCTCGGCCTCCCAAAGTGCTGGGATTCACCACGCCCGGCCCGGCTTTTAGCAGCATTTGCTTGAATTTATTTCTGAGAGATACAGAGGCATGGCTTGGAGCTGGGGCTCCACCTACCTGAGGACCCCACATGAGAAGAGTTTAGAATGCCCCATTGGCACAGGCGGCAGGAGGCCCCTGCCATCACAGCGGGGACGGCGGAGGCCCCTGCCATCAGAGCGGGGACGGAGCTCGGCTTTGTTGAAGGGCTTTTGAAAGAAGGTGACTTGCTGCAATTGTTTTTTCAGTGAGTGATTCATAAAGATGGCAAGATCTGTCTCCAACATGGCTTTTAGAGATTTCTGGAGTTTTTTTATAGAGGAGAAGATAATCCCACATGAAGTTAAAATACTTTTACAAAGGTTTTGTTCTTAAATGTAAGGAAAATGAGGCATTAGTCAAGCTCCTGGCTCACTTGAGGGGAAAGAAAGATTGTCAAAGGGAATTTGGAATCTTCTGGATGGACTGAGAAGTAACTTGGTTAGGTTGAGGGGCCTGGGTGGTGGTTGGGCAGCCGCAGAGCTGTCAGAGTAGAGTCAATGTCGTAGGGTGAAGGTATGGGCAGCGTGGAGGGGGACCCAGGTACAGAAGGAGGCTGGCATGGTGGGTAATCGCCATGCCTAGGATCCCACAGTCCCTCAGAGGGAAAACTTTGGCCTGATCATTTTGCTTGAGTCTCAGTTGGAAAGGGCCTCATACTCCAGTCTGCACCTGTGAGTGAATCTTGCTGATAGCATCCTTACCAAGTGACTTTATCGCCTCTGTTTGAATATGTCCAGTGATGGAGAGGTTAGTACCTCTCATAGCAGGCCTCCTGTGTTTGGACATCTCCTTATTGAGGAGAAATCTTTTCTCCTGTTAATGCCACTCCTTGTTCTTGGGTCTGCCCCTGCATTCACACTGAGCGAGTTATTCCCTTCTCCCCAGGGGCACTGTGCCACCTCAATACCCACCCACTTGTCTACTCTTACTCCACCCACATGGTTTCTCCTTGTTTATCTCTCATGGTTTCCCCACTATCATCCAGGTCTCCCCGCTGAATGGTCTGCACTTTGCCTGTGCTCCTTCTTAAGGTGTGGTGCCTGAACAAAACACCCACCACTCTTGACATGCCCAGAGCAGGCATCACCCAGTACACATGGCTCCGTCCAGATGAAAACCTTCCCAGGAGTGGCTGGATAAGGCCCCCAACCCCAACACTTGACAACCTGCTGTGCTTACTGGCTCCCCATGGCCCTCCGATTTCAGATTTCTCAGATTTCTGGCTTTGCCAGAAGACTCTGGCATCCCTGGGGCAGGTGCCTTGCTCACATCTGGGACCCTGCCTCCTGGGCTGTGATCACCAGTGCTCAGCTCTGCCAGGCCAGGTACAGCACATAGTGCTCCCAGGGTGGCCTGACCCGGGCAGAGTGGAGAAGGGCTCTTGCCTCCCCTATCCTAGTTTCTTTCCTGTCCAGCCTAGGCTCACATAGCTTCTTTTGGCTGCCACATCACATGCGGGATTCATGGTCAAACAGGCTAAATTTTTTTCACAGATGCTGCCGTGAGGCCATATTTCTCCCGAGCTGCACCTGTGCCACTGATATGTGTTCCTCCTAAGCCCCGTCTTGTTAGATTCAAATGGACTCATGGCTCCTCTCAGCAGAAAGCTGGGTTACTGGTTATTGTTTCTGATTCCTGATGGGGACAATAAAAGGCACAGACACACAGACTGGTAAGATAGAGAAGAAGCCAGAATGAACGCCCTGGCCAGCATAGGGAGCGCTCTCAAATGCGGCCGGGATGACCAGGGCGCTGAGGACAGCAGGCTCTTCCACAGGGCCTTGGGGAGGTGCCAGACTGCACCACTTCCTCCCTCTCATTCTGTTCCTGGGTTAGGGCAAAAATCAGGAAGCTCTCGTCTTCTGAACCTCACAGCCACCCCTTTGGGCTCTCCCTTCAGAAAGTGTGTTGACCGGTGGGGGCGCGGTGGCTCACACGTGTAATCCCAGCACTTTGGGAGGCTGAGGCGGGCGGATCACCTGAGGTCGGGAGTTTGAGACCAACCTGTCCAACATGGAGAAGCCCCGTCTCTAATAAAAATACAAAATTAGCCGGGCCTGTGGCGTGTGCCTGTAATCCTAGCTACTTGGGAGGCTGAGGCGGGAGAATCGCTTGAACCCGGGAGGAAGAGGTTGCGGTGAGCCGAGATCGTGCCATTGCACTCCAGCCTGGGCGACAAGAGCAAAACTCCGTCTCAAAAAAAAAAAAAAAAAAAGCAAGCAAGAAAGAAAGCGTGTTGACCATCTCGAGCTTAACTTGTGCCTCCCGAGAGACTGAGACCGGCATAGCTGTTGGTGTTAGTGGCTTGGTTGGCCAGCAGCTTGCTGTTACTGCAGGACCCTCCTGGGCAGAGGAGACCCTCCAGGGAAATACACACTATTTTATGTGCTGGTTTTGGGCCTAACGCCTCATGGGCATTCTTAGCCCTGGGAGACCAGTGTATGAGCTGGGATTGCCTCACACTAAGAATAGCAGGAACCCCTAGAAGTCTAGGGCCATTGTGGCTTTGGGGAGCCCAGGCTCCTTGTTTTTTTCTGCTGTGTTATTCTGAAGGCAGCTCAGGATCCCAGGATACTGTGATAGTCCTTCACCTCCAGCCTCAGTCCAGGCAGGGACAAGCAACGCACCTGCATCGGGAAAGCAAAACTCAGCAATTGTGGTCGACCTCCGCTTGCAGCCTATTGGCCAGAGGCAGGTCACGTGACCACTAGGTGGGTGGTAATCTGGAAAGCGTTGGGCGCACTGCTGTCCCTGGACAAAATCCAGATTCTTGTTAGTGAGGCAGATGAGAAGAACGGATGCTGGCAGGCAAAGAGCAGTGTCTGTCACAGCTCAGCTGGGCTGTGGCCTCCAGCTGTTCACAGGGATATTGGGGCTTTGGCATTCAAGGGGCTCAAAGGGGAACCCCCTGGGGATAGGTCTTTGTTTTTCTTTTCCTGTAGGGCAGTGGTATTGAACCTTGGTTGTGGGTTAGAATCACCTAGAGAACAGTGAGGGAAAAAGTGTCTGTGCCTCACCTCTGGGTCAGGAGTGAGGCTAGGCAAAGGAATACTTTAAAGAACTTCCCTGTGATTAAAAAGAAAAAAAAAATCATTCTATGGAGAATCTCAAACATACGCAAAAGTAGAAAGCTGTATATTGATCCCTGGTGTACCTGTCACCTGGGTTTCCATAATTATCAGCACATGGCCAATCTTGTTTCAGCTACATCTCCATTTTCCTCCCCCTCCCCATACCAGATTAATTTTCGAAGCAATTCCTGGACATGGTATTTCATTTGCAAATATTTTAATATTTATCTCTAAATGATAAGAACTCGTTTTAGTAATATAACCACACGACCATGATCACATTTCCAAGTGATTCTAATAAACAGGGGCCCAGAGAACAACTGCTGTGGACTAGATGAACCAGTTCTTCCCCCAGGACCTGTTGCACTGGAATCCCCTGAGGTGAATGACACAGGCAGATTTCTGGGGCCACCCCTTCCTACTGAATCAGAATGTCAACGGGAGGGACCTGGGAGTTTGCATTTTAACAAGCTCCCCAAGTGCTTGTTAACTAACTTTTGAGAGCTGAGGCAGTAAGGTCTTCCTGGTCCCAAGGCCCCTTCAAATTGAGAAGCAGCCCTAAGATGGGGATCCCACAGCGACTGTAAGAGCTGCAAATTGAGGGAAGAGGAATTAGAGTAGGATGAGGCAATCCCAGCAGTGGCCAAGAAGGAAAGGCCGAGAAGTCCAGCAGTGCTCAGGAGGCACTGTCATGCTAGCTGGAGCTGCCCGCCCAGGAGTATTCACAGCCCCACCTTACCCACCTTGTCAGGGTATTGCTGTGGGGGGGGCAGGTGAGTCGAGATAGAACCTTCTGCTCTCTGGAAGAGTAGAAATGCGCCATTGACTGTTGGGTATAAGTGGTAGAGCCTGGTATAATACACCCAGACTCAGTTAATTTTAGGTCTGAATATATTTGACAATGGAGAGACAGTTTAGAGAAAGACGGGCAGCAAGTCAATCTGAAATAAGCTCTCTTGCCTAGACCTTTTTGTTACTTGTTTTGTTTTGTTTTTGTTTTAAGACAGGTCTCACTCTCGCCCAGGCTGGAGTACAGTGGCACAATCTTGGCTCACTGCAACTTCTGCTTCCCGGGCTCAAATGATTCTCCTGCCTCAGCCTCCTGAGTAGCTGGGATTATAGGCGTGTGCCACCACGCCCTGCTAATTTTTGTATTTTTAGTAGAGATGGGGTTTCACCATGTTGGCCAGGCTGGTCTCGAACTCCTGGCCTCAAGTGTCTGCCCGCCTCAGCCTCCCAAAGTGCTGGGATTACAGGTGTGAGCCACCGCTCCCGGCCACAACCTTTTTGTTACTTTTAAAAATGTCAGGTAGGCTGGGCATGGTGGTTCACACCTGTAATCCCAGCACTTTGGGAGGCAGAGGCAGGTGGATCACTTGAGGCCAGGAGTTCGAGACCAGCCTGGCCAACATGGTGAAACCTCATCTCTACCAAAAACACAAAATTTAGCAGGGCGTGGTGGAACATGCCTATAATAATCCCAGCTACTTGGGAGCCAGAGGCACGAGAATTGCTTGAACCCGGGAGGCGGAGGTTGCAGTGAGCCAAGGTTGTGCCACAGCACTCCAGTCTGGGTGAAAGAGAGAGACGCTGTCTAAAAAAAAAAGTGCTAAGGGTGTGGCCCTTAAGGAGACAGGAACAAATCATCTAGTTCCACTAGGGATGTAACTGCCCAATGGCTTCACCTTGCTCACTGCCTAGACAGAACCGGTTTATCAAGACAGAGGACTTGCAGTAGACAAAGAGTAATTCACGCAGAGCCGGCTGTGCAAGAGACCAGAGTTTTATTATTACTCAAATCAGTCTCTCCAAACATTCAGGAATCAAGAGTTTTTAAGGATAATTTGGTGGGTGGGGGAAGGCCAGTGACAGAGTGTTGATTGGTTGGGCCGGAGAGGAAATCATGGGAAATTGAAGCTGTCTTCTTGCGCTGAGTCAGTTCCTGGGTCGGGGCCACAAGAGCAGATGAGCCAGTTTGTCCACCTGGGTGGTGCCAGCTGATCCATCCAGTGCAGGGTCTGCAAAGTATCCCAAGCGCTGATCTTAGGAGCAGTGTAGGGAGGGTCAGAATCTTGTAGCCTCTAGCTGCATGGCTATAAATTATGGTTTATAATTTGTAATCTGGTGCCTAATTTGTTAGTCCTACAAAGACAGTCTGATCCCCAGGCAAGAAGGAGGTTTGTTTTGGGAAAGGGCTGCCATCTTTGTTTTAAACTATAAACTATAGTCTGGGCGTGGTGGCTCACACCTGTAATCCCAGCACTTTGGGAGGCTGAGGTGGGCGGAACACCTGAGGTCAGGAGTTCGAGACCAGCCTGGCCAACATGGCAAAACCCTGTCTCTACTGAAAATACAAAACTTAGCCAGGCGTGGTGGTGGGTGCCTGTAATCCCAGCCACTTGGGAAGCTGAAGCAGGAGAATTGCTTGAACCCAGGTTGCAGCGAGCCAAGATCGCGCCACTGCACTCTAGCCTGGGTGACAAGAGTGGAACTTTATCTCAAAAAAATATAACTCATCTCAAATATAACTCCATCTCAAAAAAACACAACTGTAAACTAAGTTCCTCCCAAAGCTAGCTCAGCCCACAGCCAGGAATGAAAAAGGACGGCTTGGAGGTTAGAAGCAAGATGGAGTTGGTTAGGTCAGCTCTCTTTCACTGTCTCAGTGTTTTGCAATGGTGGTTTCAATGACACCTTCTCATTCTTTCTGCAGAGCAACACTGGGGGTCATGGGAATACAGACTGATGCTCTTTGGATGGAGTCATTCACAAGCTTTGGGTGTACCGACCACACTATCCTGATCACTTGAGACCATCCGTGCACAAGGACTTAAAATCCAGACTCCTCTGTGGCAGTACAAAAGGACAGGGGGTTACCTTGGCAGGTTTTCCTAGTGAACCCTCATTTCTGTCTAGTGAATTTAATGTTCTTTAAGAACATATTTTAATAATTTTTTAAAAGCTTAATATGTTGAATAGGTAATATATTTACATGGTACAAAATTTGAATGGCAGGCCGGGCGCCGTGGCTCATGCCTGTGATCCCAGTACTTTGGGAGGCCGAGGCAGGCGGATCACCTGAGGTCAGGAGTTCGAGACCAGTGTGGCCAACATGGTGAACCCCCGTCTCTACTAAAAATACAAAAATTGGCCAGGTGTGGTGATGCAAGCCTGTAGTCCCGGCTACTCAGGAGGCTGAGGCAGGAGAATCGCTTGAACCCAGGAGGCGGAGGTTGCAGTGAGCTGAGATCGTGTCACTGCACTCCAGCCTGGGCAACAAGAGTGAAACTCTGTCTCAAAAACAAAACAAAACAAAACAAAAAACAAAATTTGAATGGCGTCAAATGGTATACAGAAAAGGTAAGTCTATCTCCCATCTCTTTTCCCCTGTTACCACCTGCTCATTCACCCCTACCTCCTTCATTTGTCATTACTGGGTTAATATCCTTTAAAAACTAACAGGACCTCCGCTTCTGGGAAGATGGAGTAGATGTACTTTTCTCTATTCTTTCTGTCAAGTACAACTAAAAACCCTGGATATTACATAAATTATAAATAATTTAGTAAGTATGTAATATATAAAAAGCCTCTTAAAAGGCAGAGAGAAGAAGGCAGACCAGCTAAGGACCTCAGGACCCAAGAAATGGTGCAGTGATGAGTTCTCTAGGTTTTCTTTTTGTTTCTTATGTCCCAGACTTGGAGTTGAAGCAGCCGGCAACCCAGAAATACCAGTAAGCTCAGACGCAAAAAGCCCCAACAAAAATTTGCTCTCTCTAGCCAAATGACCAGTGCAGTAGGACAGAACAAGTGGGTTTGTTCCAGGGATATAAGGATGGTTCATTATTTGAAAATTAATCTCATCCACCAAATTAATGAACTAAAAGAAGAAAACTTACATGATGCTCTCTATCAATGCAGAAGATGCAAAATTTAGCACACATTTATGATTTTAAAAATCTCAGGAAAAATAGACATAGAGGGGGATTTTCCTGAACTTGATAAAGGGTAAACACCATAAGCCTTCAGCTAACATACTTAAGGGTGAGACTGAATGCTTTGTCCCTAAGATGGGGAACAAACCAAGGATATTAGTTCTCACCGCTTATCCAACATAGTGCTGTAATTTCTAGCCAGTGCAATAAGGTAAGAAATGGAAGTAAAAGTCATATAGATTGGAAAAGAAGGAATAAGACCCCATATTTGCAGATTACATGATTGTGTACATAGAAGATCCCAAGGCATCCACAAAAAAACTCCTAGAACTAATAAGTAAGTTTAGCAGGGTTACAAGATACAAGATAACACACAAAAATCAATTGCATTTCTGTATACTAGCAATGAACATATGGATATCAAATTTTAAAACAATACAGTTTCGACCGGATGTGGTAGTTCATGCCTGTAATCCCAGCACTTTGGGAGGATGAGGTGGGAGGATCACTTGAGTCCAGGAGTTCAAGATCAGCCTGGGCAACATGGTGAGACCCTGTCTCTGCAAAAAATACAAAAATTAGCTGAACCTGGTGGTGCATGCCTGTAGTCCCAGCTACTGGGGAGGCTGAGGTGGAAAGATTGCTTGAGTGTGGCAGGCGGAGGCTGCAGTGAGCCGAGATCATGCTACCGCACTCCAGCCTAGGCAACAGAGTGAGACCCTGTCTCAAAAAATAAAATAAAATGAAATAAAATAAAACAAAACAAAACAATACCATTTGTAGTTGCTCAAAAAAAGAGAGAAATAGATGTAACAAACATGTTACACATAACACAGCATGTGTAGGATTTGTTTTTTGTTTTGTTTTTGTTTGTTTGGTTGGGTTTTTTTGAGACGGAGTTTCACTCTTGTTGCCCAGGCTGCAGTGCAATGGTGCGATCTCGGCTCACTTTGACCTCCGCCTCCTGGGTTCAAGTGATTCTTCTGCCTCAGCCTCCCGAGGAGCTGGGATTACAGGCACCCCCTCACCATGCCCGGCTGGTTTTTTGTATTTTTAGTAGAGTCAGGGTTTCACCATGTCGGCCAGGCTGGTCTTGAACTCCTGACCTCAGTTGATCCACCTGCCTCGGCCTCCCAAAGTGCTGGGGTTACAGGGATGACCCACCATGCCCGGCCGCATGTATGGTTTAAATGCTGAAAACGACACAACACTGATGAAAGAAATCAAAGATCTATGTAAATGGAAACCCCATACTGTACTCAGGAATTGGAAGACTCAACAAAGTAAAGATGCCAACTTTCCCCAAATTGATATACAGGTTTAGCACACTTTCTATAAAAATCCCAGTCATATTTTTTATAGATGAAGACAAGATTACTCTAAAATTTATATGGAAAGGCAAAGGAAATAGAATAGCTAAAAGAATTTTGAAGAAGAAAAATAAAGTAGCAGCACATATATCAATGAATCAAAATAGAAAATCCAGAAATAGGCCCACCCAAATATGCCCAACCAATTTTTGACAAAAGTGCAAAAGCAATTCAATAGAGGAAAGATAACGTTTTCAAAAAATGGCGCTGGAGCAAATGGACACAAAACTTAGACCTAAGTCTGACGTCTTATACAAAAATTAATGGATCATAGACTTAAGAAGTAAAACATAAAACTATAAAACTTTTTTTTTTTTTGAGACAGGGTCTCCCTCAGTCCCCCAGGCTGGAGTGCAGTGGTGCAATCTCAGCTCATTGCAACCTCTGCCTCCTGGGCTCAGTTGATCTTCCTGCCTCAGCCTTCCAAGTAGCTGGGACTTAAAGGCGTGAGCCACCACACCTGACTAATTTTCGTATTTTTTGTAGAGATGGGGTTTCGCCATGTTGCCCGGGCTGTTCTCGAACTCCTGAGCTCAAGCAATCTGCCCACCTCAGCCTCCCAAAGCGCTGGGATTACAGGCATGAGCCACCATCCCAGCCAAAACTATAAAACTTTTAGAAAAGAACATAGAAGAAAATCTTTGGGTCCTGGGGGCAAAGAGCTCTGAGACTTGACATCAAAAGCATGCCGCATAATAGGAAAATACTAGACTTTATTTAGGGGTTAAGAGTTTAGACTCTGGACTCTCTCAGCCTTGGTTTCACTAGTTAGCTCTATCACTAACTACATTGGGCATTGAAAATTCCTCTGTTGTCCCACGTGGTGCATGGATGATTGTAGACGAGGACACTGAGATCCTGAAGGCAGAAGTAATTTCTCTAAGCAACGTTGTTGGTTGGTGGCAGAGTCTGGGTTACAACCCCTGGTTTCCTGATTCCGAGTCCAAGTGAAATACTTTTGCCCCTGCAGTAGACCCTGCTACAGAGGATAAAAAGGCACGTCATAGGCTAGGAGAAAAATTTTGCCTACCACATATGTAACCAAGGACTAGCAGCTAGGACATCTGAAGAATTCTCAACATTCAACGGGGTAGAAGAATGAACGATTCAATAGAATATGGGCAAAAGACATGAAGAGGCATTTTACCAAACATAGGGTGCTATGGTCCGAATGTTTGCATTCTCCTCAAATTCCTGTGTTGAAATCCTAACCCCCAAGGTATTGGTATTAGGAGGCAGGGGCCCTGGGAAGTGATTAGGTCATAAAGGTGGAGTCCTCATGGATGGGATTAGTGTCTTTATAAAAGAGACCTTTGCCATGTGAGGTTACAGTGAGAAGACATCTGTCTATGAAGAAAGTGGGCCCTCACCAAACACAGTCTGCTGGCACTTTGCACTTCAACTCCCCAGCTTCCAGAACTGTAAGGAATATAAGTCTGTTGTTGGTAAGCCACCCGGTCTATGATATTTTGTTATAGCAGCCCAAACAGACTAAGACAGGTGACAAATAAACATGAAAAGATGTTCAACATCATTAGCCATTAGGGAAATGCAGATTAAAACCACAGCGAAATATCATGATACAGTTTTCAGCATGGCTAAACTAGAAAATAGTGACACCACCAAATGCCGACAAGGCTGTGGGGAAACTGGGTTGTTCAGACACTGCCACTGGGGCTGTAGCGTACTATAGCCACTTTCATAAACAGTTTGTCAGTTTCTTAAAAAACTAAACCTGCAACTACCATATGACCCAGCAATTACACCCCTGGGCACCTACCCAAGAGAAATGAAAACTCAACGTTTGCGCAAAAACCTGTGTAGGAATGTTCAAGCAGCTTTATTCATAATATGCCCAAACAGGAAACAACTCAGCTGTCCTTCAGTAGGTAAATAGTTAAGCAAATTGTCATACCCCTGTGTCATGGAGCACTACCTAGCAATAACAAGGAGCAAATTATTGATACATAACAATCTGGATGAATCTCCAGAGAATTATGTTGAATGAAAAAAGCCAGCCCCTGAAGGATACATACTGTATGATGCCATTTACATAACATTCTTGAAATTCTAAAATTACAGAGATGGGGAACAGATTTGTGGTTAAAGATGGAGCCGGGTGGGAAGAAAGTAGGTGTGGCTATAAACGGGTAACATGAAGGATCCTTGTGGTGATGGAAATTTCTGTATTTTTATTGTATCCGTGTCAGTATCCTGGTTGTGATATGGTAATACAGTTTTGCAAGATACTACCCTTAGGGGAAATGAGGTAAGACCTGGCATCTCTCTGTATTATTTCTTAATTGCATGTGAATCTACAATTATTTCAAAATAAAAAGTATGATTGAAGTAACTCTCAGGAAGCTTAGCCTACTGTGGATTAAGACATCAAAATTGCAGCAGGCTTTAACAAAGCTATACTACTACAAGGATAGTTCACACTTGAATTAGCTTGAAACATTACCTATCCATGTCATCTTGGAAAGCAGAAAATGGAACTTTATTGGAGTGGGACACTGGATGGCCAGGGTTTAGCAGAGCCTGCCCAACAAAAGTAGCTTCAGAATTGGCTTTATTCTCAGGAAGGCTCTTCCTGGACAGTGGCAAACATAGCCATAGCAAATACTGGCTCACTTTCTATCAGCCAGCAACCCTGGTGGAAAGAGGGCCTCTTACTCAGTTGTACCAGCAAGCTGTCTCCAGGAGCCGGGGCTGGAGAGACACCCAGTGCTGCTCTAGGCCAGTGTGGCTGAGGGTCTGTCTAGTCTGTCCTTGTACTCACGGCTTCCTTTTCTCTTGCAGACGCCCACTATTGCTTGGTTCTACTTCCTTTATCCCGATTGGCCGTCGGACTTATGCCAGTGCGGCGGAGCCGGTGAGTGGAAGCCCAGCTACCCGGGAGCCAGTTGGATGGTCAGAACCCTTTCTTCTGGGCCCCTAGGCCCTGAGCTACCCTCAGAGTGGGGCCTTAGTGTTTCCAGGACACTGGGAGCCACTTTCTCACTTAACCCTCCCCCAAAGCCCCTCATCAGTAATGAGCTCACACACCCCCATCCATGTGGGGAGGAAGCAGTAATGAGGCACTCCAGCCCCTCCCAGCCAGGAAGGTATCACTGGAGGCCTAGGTGGGGGGCGAGAACTCCCAGCCCCACCCAGCAAGTTAGGGGTTAAGAGTTTAGACTCCGGAGGCCCAGGGCGGTGGCTCCCGCCTGTAATCCCAGCACTTTGGGAGGCCGAGGTGGGTGGATCAACTAAGGTAGGGAGTTCAAGACCAGCCTGGCCAACATGGAGAAACCCCATCTCTACTAAAAATACAAAATTAGCCGGGCGTGGAGGTGCATGCCTGTAATCCCAGCTACTTGGGAGGCTGAGGCAGGAGAACTGCTTGAACCTGGAAGGTGAAGGTTTTGCGGTGAGCCGAGACTGGCCATTGCCCTCCAGCCTGGGCAACAAGAGCCAAACTCCATCTCAAAAAAAAGAAGAAGAGTTTAGACTCTGGAATCTCTCAGCCCTGGTTTCAGTTCCAGCTCTATCACTAGCTACATTGAGCGTTTTAAAAAGACCTCTGTTTCTCACATGTAGCATGGGGGATTGTAGATGAGATCCTGAAGGCAGAAGTAATTTTCCCAAGCAACATTGCTGGTTGGTAGCCGAGTCTGGGTTAGAACCTGGCCTTTCCACTATACCATGGTGCTTCTCCAGACAACAAGAACAAGGTAGGGAGGGCCAGGCTTGGGCCACTCAGGAAGCACTAACTCTCACTGCACAGAGGGTGGAGAGGCCTGGTCACTTTGCCCCTGTACCACCGGTTCCTAACATGGAATCTGACCTTGTAAAACAGGTTGGCAGCAAAGCTGTCCTGGTCACAGGCTGTGACTCTGGATTTGGGTTCTCATTGGCCAAGCATCTGCATTCAAAAGGCTTCCTTGTGTTTGCTGGCTGCTTGATGAAGGTAAGAGACGAGTTATCTTCTTCACCATTGTCTTTTACACATAGTCATTGTTTTTTAGTCTTTTAAAAAGTGCTTTCCTAACAACTGGCTCACCTTTGCTTAAACCAGCCTGTCCATTTTCCATCGGCTTCAGTCCCACTTGTTCTTCATAGCTTTGTCCATCCATCATCCATGCATCCATCCATCCATCCATCCTCTCATCTATCCATCATTCGTCAAATGCTATGATGTACCTGACACTTTGCTAGGTGCAGTAGAAGAATGAGACCTTGTCCCTGCCCTGAAGTTGCTCCCTGTCGAGTGGTGAGGAGACAGCCATGCATAGACACAGCTGAAGAATTCGAGTGAAGCAGATTCTCAGGGGTGTGCGAGAATGTTCGGCGAGACTGTGTAGGAGGAAGGGATTGATGATGGCATGCCAGAGGAAGTGACATTTGTTCTGGGCCATGGCGAGTAAATAACACTGCCACAGGTGGAGACTGGGAGGAGTTACCTGCTGGACGGGAGGAATAGCCTGGGCAGAGGCTTGAAAGCATGAGGCTCCTTCGGGACACATTAAGTAGAATTTAAGGTGCATGAAGGGAAGCACTGGGACCCGAGACTGCAAAAGCAAACAGTGGGCAGTGCCCCAGTTAGAAAGTTGTGCGCCCACCACCACAATCCACTTTAGAATACGTCCATCACTCAGAATTCTCTCTCTTGACCATTGGCAGTTAATCTCCACATATACCTCTAGCCCTGAGCAGCCACTGATTTCTATTTCTTTAGGTTTGCATTTTCTGGACTTTTCATCTACATGAAATCATACAATACATGGCCTTTTGTGCCACACTTCTTGAACACTTAGTGTGATGTTTTTGAGAGTCATCCATGTTGCAGAATGCATCAGTAGCTCATTCCTTTGTATTGCTGAGTGGTATTCTGTTGTGTGCCTATGCTATATATATATACATATATGTATATATATATATACACATATATATATATATATATTTTTTTTTTAATTTATGTTTTTGAGACAGAGTCTTACTTTGTCTCCCAGGCTGGAGTGCAGTGGGTGCAATCTTGGCTCACTGCAACCTCTGCCTCCCGGGTTCAAGTGATTCCCCTGCCTCAGCCTCCCGAGTAGCTGGGACTACAGGCATGAGCCACCATGCCCACCTAATTTTTGTATTTTTATTAGAGACGGGGTTTCACCATGTTGGCCAGACTGGTCTCAAACTCCTGTCCTCAGGTGATCCACTCACCTTGGCCTCCCAAAGTGCTGGGATTACAGGCGTGAGCCACCACGTCTGGCCCAAAGCACTATTTTTAAAAGCTACTTGTATTAATTTTTGTTTTTTCTTTATCGCTGTATTATTTATTTGAAATATAATGCCATTTATTTGTGATCTGTTTTCCTTGTTGTTGATTCTTGTTGATGTAATTTAATTTCTGAATATGTAAACTGTTAACAAGGCTGTAAAGGCAAAAATTATACAAATTGGTAAAATCAAAGTAGCGTTATTCCCTCACCCCTATCTGTTCCACTCCATTCCTTCATTTTTCCCCATGTTACACAAGTGTTTGCATATTGCATATACTCTTTGGTTTTTTAAAACATCAACAATATACCTTGGAAATCAGGTTGTATGACCTCACAGAGATCTTTTTCACTTTGTTCACAGCTTTGAAGCACCCACTGAGTGGGCGGATCATAATTTACTTCATCAAAATCTCCTGTAAATGAGCATTTAGGTGTTTTCAATATTTTGCAATTACAAATAATGCCACAATGAATAACTTTGTATTTTTGTTATTATTGGGGGGTTATCTTTTTTTTTTTTCTTTTTTTTGAGATGGAGTTTTGCTCTTGTTGCCCAGGCTGGAGTGCAATGGCCCAGTGTCGGCTCACTGCAACCTCCACCTCCCGGGTTCAAGAAATTCTCCTGCCTCAGCCTCCCAAGTAGCCGGGATTATAGGTGCCTACCACCACATCTGGCTAATTTTTGTATTTTTAGTAGAGAGGGGGCTTCACCATGTTGGTCAGACTGGTTATCTTTAGAGTAAATTCCTTGGGAGTGAGATTGCTCTTAGATCAGAGTGTAAATAAAATATATTGTCATTTTAAAGATATTCCCAAATTTTCCATCCTAGGGGTCATGTAATTTTACATTCCCTCCAGGAGTGCATGAGTGCCTATTTCCACACAATTTCACCAACAGAGTATGCATCAAGCTTTTGGTTTTTGCCAGTCTGATAGGTGGGAAATGTACCTCAGTGTTGTTTTTATTGTATTTCTCTTCTGAGTGCATACCCCTGTTCTTTAAGGACATGACCCAGAAGCTTCCTCTGCAGATATCACCTGTGCTCTCATTCTCTTGGCCAGAACTTAGTCACATGGCCTTACCTGGCTGCAAGGAAGGCTGGAAAATGTAGTGAGTATTCTGAGACAATATGTACCCGGCCTAAAATGTCAGGCGTTCTACTGCTATAGAAGAAGGATGAAGGGAAGAGTGGGCATTCAGGACAACTTGCTTTCTCTGCTCGGTGGGTGAGACATTTTTCTTTATTTTCAAGCCAGTAGGAACCCAGGGGAGGAATTTCCCATACTATGTTGATATCTTTGTAATATTTGATACCCAACGTAAAATTTCAATAATATAAACAAGTAAAAGAAATCATTTATATTGCCATGCTCTAAACATCATTCCATCTGGATCAGAGAAGGTTTTGTTTGTCCTTTTAATCTTTACTTCTTTGAATTGTGAAAGTAATACTACATATTCATAATAAATTCAAATAATACAGAAGTATATTATGTAAAAAAGTGAAGTCTTCCCAATCTCTTGCTCCAAGGCAGCTTAAATGCAGGTGTATACATTATTTGTGAGTTTTGCTATTACAGGTCGAGTATCTCTTATCTGAAATGCTTGGGACCAGATGTGTTTTGGATTTTGGATTTTTCCAGATTTTGGAATATTTGCATTATACTTGCTCAGCATCTCTGATCTGAAAATCCAAAATCCAAAGTGCTCCAATGAGTATTTCCCTGGAGCATCATGTCAGCACTCAAAATTCAGATTTTGGAACATTTCAGATTTGGGATTATTGGATTAGGGATGCTCAACCGGTATTAACAAAGCCTGGGTGAGCCATCTTGCACATATATCTTTGCCTCCTTCCACTGGCGATTCTTAGGAACATTTCGTAGATGTGAAAGTGCAAGTTGCAAAGGTGTGCAGGTTTTAGGTTTTGTTCAAATCCCCAAACTGCTTTCCTGAAAGGCTGTCGCTCTCCTGACAGTGCTCAAGAGAACCCGTCTGGGGAGGGTTCTGGGGAATGGGTGTGGCATCCCTGGTGCTGGATTCTTCTGCAGAATGTGGACCTACCTCAGCGGGTCCCAGCAAGAACCATGATGCCATAAAAATGTTGTAAAGTCCCTTGTCCTATGTTAGGCTTCTGTGCCATTGTGCTGGCTTATCCAGTGACACAGGGAGCCACAGTCAGATTCCACAGCACAGGGCAGAGGCTGCTCGATGCTGCAGAAGACTCTTCAAAAGGGCCTTCGGTTCTAGTCCTAGACTGACCACTAACCCCGGAAGGGGACAAACATGTCCCCTCCCTGGGCCTCAGTTTCCTCTTACTTACCCTAATAGGATTGGACTGGTGATCTTAGATCCTTCCACTCCTGCAACAGTGATTCTAGAATTGGTTGACTGGTATTTTGAAGAAAGTACCAGACAAGCTCATTGGCAGGTTATATCTGTTGGTATCTACCTCTTGACCCATTCCATCTGCTATCTGAGATCAGTCAGGCAAGTCAGAAAGCAGTTAGCACCACCAGAGGCTTTGGATAAGGCACCGTGGGGGTTGAAAGGGGGAATTTGCTTCTAGCCCGATTCTGTAGTGTTAGCCCCATGATGGATTCCGGCTACATCTGTACCTAAACACTCTCTCTGCTCTTGTTCAGAATTAGTGTTCCTCTTATCTCTCATATCTCATTGCCTTTGGCCAACTCAGGGACTTAGCTCCAGCAGATGTCTGCCACCTCCTACGTCACTGGCTCCACGCTCTCTCCTGGGTCATTTCAGCACATGCACACACACACACACACACACACACACACTCACTCACTCACTCATACAGACCTACACCACCACACCCTGTGTACATTACCTCCCCACGGCTCTGCTCCTTGTTGCAGAAAAGCACCCCCAGAGGGGGTGCAACCCACCTGGATCAGGCTTTGCCCCATCACGATGTTTATTTACTTGTTTATTTATTCAGCAGATATTTACTGAGCACCTAAGATAAGCTGACAGTGTTCCCTGTTGGAGATACAGCATATAACACCTCAGTGAGAAGTTCTTGCCCTTGCGGAGCTTATATTCCAAGGGGGGATGATAGGCAAGGAATAAGATAAGTAAATTGCTTCTCTGCAGGGTGGTAAAAGCAGTAGAGAAAAATAAAACAGGAAAAGAAGATAAAGCATGGTGGACGGGGTGTCAGATTTTCAAGAGGGAGGAAAGATCACACCAAGAAGGTAAATTGGAGCTCCCTCATCCAAAGGAGGTGCGGGAGGGAGTGTCACAGAAACCAAGGAGGTGCGGGAGGGAGTGTCACAGAAACTAAGGAGGTGCAGGAGGGAGTGTCACAGAAACCAAGGAGGTGCGGGAGGGAGTGTCACAGAAATCCAGGGGAAGAGGGGACAGTGCAGTACAGAGCTCCAGGAGGGAGTGTGCAGGGTGCATCTGAGAAACAGCATGAAGCCTCTGTGGCTGAAGCAGAATGAGGGGGGAGTAGAGTGAAGTGAGGGGCACGGGAGCAGATCTTGTATCAGCATAGGGAAGGCTTAATGAGAGGTGGCGTCTCACCACCATCTGGAAAGATGAACGGGGGCTCCCTGCGAAATGGGGGCAGGTGGCATATGAGGCACTGCCAGTAGTTTGAGGTCGCCAAAGCCCAGTGCCCTGGTGGGCTGGGAAAAGAAGGCAGGACCAGACCAGGAAGGTCCATGAGTGCCTCTGACCCAGCTTTTATCAAGGATATCAACAGCCCCCATTTTCCCAAATCCATTGGCCACTTCTCAGACCACATCATGCTCAACCCAGCAGCAGCTTTTGACCAAATAAACCACCCTTGCTCGTAACACTTCGTTTCTTGACTCTATGCTCTCAGGGTTCTTCCCCATCTTGCTTGCTAGCTCCTCCTCCTGCCCATCCTGTGAACATCACAGTGCCCAGGCTCGCTCCTCTCTGAAGTGTTTCTAACACATGTGATAAGATGCTGACGTATAACATGTGTCGAGTGTCCTCATGTTCTTCCCTGAGGTGCTAAACCACCTGAACATATATGCTAGAGACAAAAACCTTTCTGCCAGAATCAGCTCATTGGCTGCCTCAGTATTATAAGAAATGGAAATAGAAGAGGTTGAGCGACTGGAAAGAGTTGTTAGTGTGCTGATATTTTCCCTCTGATGGCAAGTAAAATGAGGTGGGCTTCATATGAATGCCTTGGAGAGCTTCTGGACTTCTCCAAGTTCTTGAACTCCCCGGAGAGCTTCTTGGCTTACCATGTGTGCCCTGGAGTCTGGAGGCCACAGAGTGTGATGCTAATGTCCACCAGAAGAAGTCTAAAGGCCCGAGATTGAGACAGGAGTGGCTCGTCTGGGAGCGGAGCACGGAGAGCTGGTCGGGAGAGGGCTATCCTTCTACCTGGGCAGGAAACAGTTGCCTGGCCCTGTGTGGACAGTGGAGAGAGCTGCTTGGAGTCACCTTAAGGGTAACCATCCAGTGAGCTGGCTGGGAGGATCCATGTGGCCCCAGCCAGAAGCGGGTACATCACTGAGGCCAGGGGCTGAGGGAGCAGATGCCCGGCTGGGGGAGGCACGCTGCCCTGCGTCTGGAGTGGCAGTCGGAGGTCTCCGTGGCAGAATCTTTGTAGACTCCACAGAAGCACCCCAAGAAGGAAGAGCTGGCTTTTGTGCACCTGCTCTCTCAGGGGCAGCAACAGCAGACATTAGCCAGCCTCAGACGACTACAGTCTTGCCCCTAATTTGCTGCCCCGGATCCAACCTTGGAAGGGTCAGAAGTTAAGAATAGGAGGGGAGAGGAGCTAGAAAACAGTGAGAAAGACAACCTCCACCAGCACCTACTTCCCACAGCCCTCAGGGCTGGGCAGGGGAAAGCTTTACCTCGCATACAAGTTTGGGAGTTTGGGTTCTCAAACCAGGCTGGGCTGGAATTATTTGCTTAAGAGACTGAACAGGACTCTTCATGCCAAAACAAAGAGGCTCTCTGTCCACTGTCTGAGAATGAGTGGAAAAGCTATACAACTTGCCTGAAGTTTCATCCAGGGCTGGAAAAAATAGCTTACAGGTGAGGTTGAAAGGGACAGTAAGATAAAGAAGTGGGTTTATCAATAAGCCAGTTGCACACGCACCAACACAGCGGAACTAAAAGCTTGTCCCTGAGCAGCCAGACAGAGGTGGACAGAGACTCCAGAGACCTGCAGAGGGAGCACGGAGACCAGCAGAGGGAGCACACAGACCTGCAGAGGGAGCACGGAGACCTGCAGAGGGAGCACAGAAACCCTGGGTCCAGGGAGGTGGTGTGGCCTGCGGGGCAGTCTTGGCCTGAGGACAGGTAGACCCTGAGGGGGACAGGCCACCAGAGTCTGCAGCCAGCAGGCTGAGGGTGGTTGGAAAGATTTCTCTGAATAACTGGGGGCAAATTGGTAGTTTCTGTCCCTATTGGCGTGGTTGTCAGGAGCAGGGTGTGGAGGCTGCCCAAAGGCAGGTGAGGGTTCCTGGGGTGGGTCTGTCAGTGAAGATAGGAGGGTAGCGTTGCTCTCCTCGGGAGCCTGAAGCCGTGGGCAGTGAGATTAATCCCCTAGTTTCCTCTGAAAGAAGACTCTTCACTGTCAAACTGCCAAATTAAGAGTTTACTGACTTGGAGTCGGGGGTTTCCCCTGAGGACTGCAGGGACCTTGTCGTGATGCTGTGTAGGGGCACCAGAGAGGTCTTGTATAGGGGTCTGAGAAGAGCTGAATGATAGCAACAGGGTTAACCAAGTCCCAAGAGGAAGGACATTTAGATACCTCTTGTGCATGTCAGCTAGAATCCACCTTTCTGAGGTTCAGATCATGTGAGCTCCACGCCAAGGGGCATTTGAAGGGCCACCAGGTGGAAGACTGCATTAAAGCAAGACACGTGTTTTCCTGGTACCTGTGTGCCGCCTGTGGAAGAGAGGGGTCTGCAGGCACCACGTCATCACACCCTAGACCTGAAGATGCATTAGTTCTTTCTTGGTGGAGTCCTCTGTGGGAATGACAGCCTGAGCTCCAGGCCCATCTGTCCCGTGCATCTCATGCCTGCGTCTTGTTTGGGAAGGTCGGCGCACCTAGGGGATTTCAGAGCCAAACTTTAGACCATCGAGCCTCCGGCCTGGCTGCTGTGTCCGAAGGCATCCCTGGTGCCTCTGCAGAGACTTAGCGGGCCACGCCACAGTGCCTTTTCAAAGGGCCACTGGGGAGGCTTCCTTTCCATGGAAAACCAGGCGGTGAAGACGACAGTCCAGGAACGGAAGCGGTGTTAGGTAGGGGAGATCAGCCCGACCTCCTGTCCAATGCCGGGATTGTCTCTGTACCACCTTTCCCACACCCCATCCTCAAGCATCCCCCCAACCCCCAAACATCCCTCCTACCTCCAAACAACCCCCCACCCCAACTCATTGCCTCAACACCTCCAGGCAGCTCATGCCATCTCCAGACTGTGAAGATCACGCCTCATTTTGAGCTGAGCTGGACTTCTTGGTCCTGGCTCTGTTCTCTGTGGCTGCATGGAACAAGCTGGCTCCCTCAGTCATGTTCCACTCAAGTCTTCTCTCCGGGGTGACTACGTCCAGCACCTCCGGCCCCATTGGGCAGTCCCTTCACCATTTCCTCCTGTGCCCTCTGAAATTGCATGATGTGATTTCTCCATTCCCGGGGTTGGGGTTCTTCTGGTTGAAAGCATTCAGAAGGCTCAGCCTAACCAGCGGAGGACTTTCCACCCCTGACAAGTGCTGACCGTCCTGGGCTTTCCACCCTTGCCCGCGCCTGGGATGTTTGCTTCAGTAGCAGCTGTGTGTGCCATGGGCAAGCCCTTGGCTGGCGAGTGGGCATTTCTCTACCCCTTTACTCTTGGCTGCTAGTCCTGTCCTCTTACAAGAGGTGTCACTATGCCATGCACCATTCAGGAAAATTGCTGCCAATTAAGTCATTTATGACCAACTATGTTTAATTTTCACATCGAGTGTAGCTCATCCCTATTGTGAAAGAAACCATGTTTCATAGAATAGGATGAAATGTGACAATGCAGCCTGCCTGGTGACACGAGGGTGCACGTGACAAAGCACATCAGCACTTAGCACAGTGCTCAGGACAGTGGACACTCGGGAAATGCTGTCTACTTAGAGGAAAGCCCCCCAGCAGCTCGGCAGTGCCCACAAGCAGACCCCTGCCCTCCTCTCCAGCCCTGCATCCACCACCTCCTTATGCGTCTGCACTGCCTGCAACCAATGGCTTCTGGTGGCGTCCTCTTATCTCTTCCCACAGTGCCCCGTCCCCATCGGCCCCCTCTTGTGAATGTCCTCAGCTGTCACTGCCTTTGGAAGGTCTCCCCTGCCCGTCCCTCCTGTGCCCCTCCCACCTCCCGCCAGGTTCCATACAGCACACAGTCACTGTGTCGCTTACGTGCTCACCTGTCTCCTTCCCTAGAACACGACTCTGGGAACAGGGGCTGAATGATTGATCTTGACCTCCAGTTCCTAGCACAGTGCCGGAACACGATAGGGGCCCAAGAAATGTTTGCCGAGCGAGTGACGCCTTTCTCCTGTTTAGCAGTACCTGAATTTGTGTGGTGCTTTAGACTCTTTAACAGGCTTCTTACAAATCCATTTCCTTACTCCATTAATCTGAGCAGGTCAGGACAGGTGGTGATGTTCCTGTTTTACAGCCAGAAAAAATGGACCCCTGTTCAGGGACACCCCTGAGTGCACAAAGCCTACTCAGTGACTGAGCTGGGATTAGAGGCTGGCTCTGGCCTCTTACCAATTTGGAGTTGATGGGCCCTTGGCTTAGAACAGAGGTGGCAAACTGGCAGCCTGCTGGTCCTATGTGGCCTGTGGACGTGCTTTGGCCTTCACAGTGTTTTTTTGTTTTTTTTTTTAAATGTGTGTAAGTTGCCAACACTTAAAAGAATGAAGAGATTTCCCAATTACTAGCTTAAAAATGTAAGCATCTGGCAACCCTGGGTTTCCATCCCCACGTGGTAATTCCTGACATGTCCTGTACTCCCCAGGGCCCCCGCCTGCCCCACATAAGTTTGCAACCCCTGCTTGGAGAAGGAATCCTGTCTTGAGGCCTTGGGGGCCGGCTCTTCATCCTATTCATGGTTGTGTCTGTGGCACATAGCTTGATGCTTGATAGGTCATCAGTGCTCAGGATTAAAAAGAACCGCATGCTGGTGGGCCAGGCCCATGGGCAGTTGCCAGTATGCCTGAGGCTTTGGCTGGGACTTGAGGCCAGCTCCTGCCTTGACAGGAGTCCTCAGGGTCTGCCTCAGGGTGGGAAGGAAGGAGGTAGAAGCAGCTCTTCTCTCCTCCCCAGGACAAAGGCCATGATGGGGTCAAGGAGCTGGACAGCCTAAACAGTGACCGATTGAGAACCGTCCAGCTCAATGTCTGCAGCAGCGAAGAGGTGGAGAAAGTGGTGGAGATTGTCCGCTCGAGCCTGAAGGACCCTGAGAAAGGTAGGGCGCCCCTTCGGACGGCAGGGGTTGTGTATGGGGCCATTCCAAGGGGCACTTGCCGAACACCACCTTCCACTGGCTGGCATCCTGCCACCACACTCCCTTCCTTATTGTTTAGGCTCTTCCTCCTGCACAGTAGGAGGAAGAGGATTACACTAAACATACACGTGCAATAGGGCAATGGAAAAATACAGTCAGGAGGTGATTTCAGAGTTCACGGAGTGCTAGGTGGCTACGCACTGATTCAGGTCAGTTCAGCCAATGCCCATTGATGCCCCCTCTGGCCCAGGAGCTGGGTTGGGTGCCAGGGACACAAAGATGGTCAAGGCACATTCTGTCCCCAGGACCTCATAGTTCAGCCGGAGGACTGAGTTCAAAATCAGGGAGCCGTGCATTGAGAGAGGCAGAGCAGCACAGGAAGGAGGGGTCAGTCCAGCCATGGGGGCGCAGTGGAAATAGGCCAGTTAAGGCAGATTGTGGCAGAGAGCAGATATGGTTGTTCCAAGAGGAGGGGAGAGCAGGAACCACAGCTTCGAGGAGCACGGGGAGGGTAGCGGGGGCTGTTGGTCAAGTGGTGGGATTAGCCGGCACCTCAATATGAGTCATGGGTCAGGTCACGCAGAGGGGGTGGCAGCAAAGGAGGTTGGGGAGGGAGGTCTTGGATCCCAGGCGAGGGAACATGGCTGGTCTCCCAATGGCACTGGGGAGCCACTGAAGGGGTCATCCTGAGGGAATGGCCTGGTCATTGTGAGACTTGTGAATCTCCCTCTGAGGATGGCAGTGGCAATGTGAAGGTGGATTCAAAGCGGGAGTTAAACATGGGTTCTGGACTCCGGAACTAGGGTGGTAGGTGTTGGGAAACAGGAAGGGTCAGGTGCGAGGAGTGTTGAGAAGGCGAAGCTGCCTGGACTTGGTGACTTGGATGTGGGGATGAGGTGAGGCGCGAAGTCTCTGTCCTGGACACCTGGTGCCCCGCACTGCAGGAGCAGGTGGGGAGATAGGGAGACACTGAAGCGCCCACCCTGAGGGAATGTCCAGGCTAGAAGAGCAGGTGCCCACGGCAGGTGACACTGGGAGTCGGGGAGATGCACAGAGGGACCCCTGGGAATGTGAGTGTTCGGGGATCAGAGGAGGGGGAGAGGCAGCTGTCAGAGAGGTTGGATACAGTTCCCCAGAGGCTAAACAACAGAAAGTTTGGAGGAGAGGGCAGTACCAGTAGCCAACAGGGTCAAAAGCTACAGAAAGTTCCAGTAGCATAAGGACTAAAATATCCTTCCAGTTCAGCCAGTGGAGGGCCTTGTGGGAGGAGCTCTGTCTGCAACCTCGGGGTGCCATTCATGTAGAATACAGCAGTGGGGGATGGAGCTCCCTGGAGCCGGGCCGCCCAGCAGCATCTGGAGAAGCGAATCTATGAAGTTTACCTTTGAGCTCCCTGACAGCCCAGGCAGAAAGGGTGTGCGTCATTCAGGCCTCTGCTTTCCCTCAGAATGGGGTGGGGCAGCTCTCAGGAGCAGCTACTTCAGTGGCTGGGGAAGGAGGCGGAAAAGGCAGGAGTGACCAGATCCCATGCGGGGAGCTCTGCTGAGCCTGTATCAGCCAGATGGATGTGCTGTCTGTCACAGCAGCTGCCTCAGAGGCTGCGTGTGTGGCTGTCGGTGATGCCGCTCCTCTGCCTGTCTCTGATGTGCCACCTCATCAGCCCACTGTCGCTCCCATCCTCCCAACAGGCCATTCACAGGCCTCTCTGTTCTCTGTTCTCGCTGAACATCTGTTTAATAATTAACAGGCAGAGCCAGCCCATTAAGAAAAGGCAGGATGGGTCCCGCTGGGGTGATTACCGGCTCAGAACCTGCAGCCTGCTTCGCCCTTCCCTGGCGGTAAATTCTCCTCCCTCCCACCTTCCCTGGGCAGCTGCTATATTTTCCTTCATAAACTACTGGGCAGGAAAACAGCTGCATCGGCACCATAAAGCCACTTGATTATAGCGTGGGTTTTGTGGTGATCTAAAATGCCCGTGGAAAGGCGTCATCACCGGAGACCCAAGCAGAGAACGCACCAGGCCGGCTTGCTCAGGCTGGCGGTCCTCGTCCCCTGCCCCCCTGACTCTGGGGCAGAATCACTTCCATTGTCTGTACTGGACTGGCCAGGCAGCCTAACCTACAAGGCAGGGTGGGCCCCGGCCCACACAGAGGGGAGGCACTCACCCCCTGCCCGGGGATCTGGGCTCCAACCCCAGCACCAGCCTGACGCGCAGACCTTTCCCTGCTGCTTTTCCCACGCCGGGCATTCCGGAGGGCTGGATGAACCTCTCACCATCAACTTCCTTAACCGATACTGCATTTTTTTTTTTTGGAAAAGGATTTGAAGACTTTTAGGTCTGAAGAAAACAGTACATCCGTCAGATATGCAGTGGCGTGTCCCCCATCTCCTGCTCTCGCTTTCTTCCCGTCTCCCTCTCCTCCCTCTCCCTGCTTCCCCTCCACACTCTGCCACTCTGCCATGTCTTGGCCTTGCCTTGGCAATTCCCCCTCAGGCAATGCCGGCTGTGAACTCCAGGGAGCACCCTCCCAGAGCGTTCCGACCCGCAGTGGCCGCCACCGACCCACACCCCATGCAGGACATGTCAGAAGGGTCCTCTTCCCCTTCTCCACCGGGGGGGCACATTTGGTTGGCGAGTTTGACGCCCTGCAGCCTGGCTCTGTGGAACAGTTGCTGCCAAAGCCCGGGGAGCCAGCCACGGGGGCGAGATGAAGGAGATTGTCTGGTGAGAGCCACAGAGCCATCTGCCACCGGCCCCGACCCCCGCAGGACGCTGAGGGACAGGACATCTGGAGCCTGGGACCAGCCCTCCCTGTCCCCACCCCAGGGGACACCGAGCCAGTGGGCCCGAGAGCAGGCCGTGGGCATGGCCTGATCTTGGCACATCACTTACCAGTCAGTCAGTCAACATTAATTAATTAATTAATTAATTTTTTTGAGACAGAGTCTTACTCTGCCGCCCAGGCTGGAGTGCAATGGTGCGATCTCGGCTCACTGAAACCTCCACATCCCGGGTTCAAGTGATTCTCCTGTCTCAGCCTCCCGAGGAGCTGGGATTACAGGCGCCTGCCACCATGCCCAGCTAATTTTTTTTTTTTTTTTAGTAAAGAAGGGGTTTCACAAGGTTGGCCAGGCTGGTCTCAAACTCCTGACCTCAGGTGATCCACCTGCCTTGGACTCCCAAAGTGCTGGGATTATAGGCCTGAGCCACCACGCCTGACCTGGGCTTCACTTATTAGAAATGTGATCTTGGGCTTGCACCTGCCCCCTGTGTGGGTCTCAGCTTGCCCATCTGTGAAGTGGGAGAGTGCTCTGAGCCGTCCAGCACTCATGCCTGGATCAGACCACTACAAGAGCATGGGAAGAATTTCAACACAAGCTGCTCGCAGGCTGACAGGCAGCAGAACATATGTGGAGGAGTAAGGGAGAAGCTTGGAAAAGGCCTGGCCTACCATGCTGTGGGATGGAGACCACAGAGCAGGAAGTGACTGATGGGGGGATCCACCTGAGGAGGGGATGGAGACCATAGAGCAGGAAGTGACTGATGGGGGGTGCCTGAGCGGGGGATGGAGACCATAGAGCAGGAAGTGACTGATTGGGGGGTCGGCCTGAGGGGGGATGGAGACCATAGAGCAGGAAGTGACTGAGGGGGGGATGGAGACCATAGAGCAGGAAGTGACTGATGGGGCGGGGAGGTCAGCCTGAGGGGGGATGGAGACCATAGAGCAGGAAGTGACTGATGAGGGGGGTCGGCCTGAGGAGGGGATGGAGACCATAGAGCAGGAAGTGACTGATGGGGGGGGTCGGCCTGAGGAGGGGATGGAGTCCATAGAGCAGGAAGTGACTGATGGGGGGGGGTCGGCCTGAGGGGGGATGGAGTCCATAGAGCAGGAAGTGACTGATGGGGGGGGTCAGCCTGAGGGGGGATGGAGACCATAGAGCAGGAAGTGACTGATGGGGGGGGTCGGCCTGAGGGGGGATGGAGACCATAGAGCAGGAAGTGACTGATTGGGGGGGTCAGCCTGAGGGGGAGATGGAGACCATAGAGCAGGAAGTGACTGATCGGGGGGGTCGGCCTGAGGGGGGGATGGAGACCATAGAGCAGGAAGTGACTGATCGGGGGGGTCAGCCTGAGGGGGAGATGGAGACCATAGAGCAGGAAGTGACTGATCGGGGAGGTCGGCCTGAGGGGGGGATGGAGTCCATAGAGCAGGAAGTGACTGATGGGGGGGGTCGGCCTGAGGGGGGATGGAGACCATAGAGCAGGAAGTGACTGATGGGGGGGGGTCGGCCTGAGGGGAGATGGAGACCATAGAGCAGGAAGTGACTGATTGGGGGGGGTCAGCCTGAGGGGGAGATGGAGACCATAGAGCAGGAAGTGACTGATTGGGGGGGTCAGCCTGAGGGGGAGATGGAGACCATAGAGCAGGAAGTGACTGATGGGGGGCGGTCGGCCTGAGGGGGGATGGAGACCATAGAGCAGGAAGTGACTGATTGGGGGGGGTCAGCCTGATGAGGAGATGGAGACCATAGAGCAGGAAGTGACTGATGGGGGGGGTCAGCCTGAGGGGGAGATGGAGACCATAGAGCAGGAAGTGACTGATTGGGGGGGTCAGCCTGAGGGGGAGATGGAGACCATAGAGCAGGAAGTGACTGATTGGGGGGGGTCAGCCTGAGGGGGAGATGGAGACCATAGAGCAGGAAGTGACTGATGGGGGGGGTCAGCCTGAGGGGGAGATGGAGACCATAGAGCAGGAAGTGACTGATTGGGGGGGTCAGCCTGAGGGGGAGATGGAGACCATAGAGCAGGAAGTGACTGATGGGGGGGTCGGCCTGAAGGGGGATGGAGACCATAGAGCAGGAAATGACTGATGAGGGGGTTGGCCTGAGGGGGGATGGAGACCATAGAGCAGGAAGTGACTGATGGGGGGGTCGGCCTGAAGGGGGATGGAGACCATAGAGCAGGAAGTGACTGATTGGGGGGGTCGGCCTGAGGGGGGATGGAGACCATAGAGCAGGAAGTGACTGATGGGGGGGTCGGCCTGAAGGGGGATGGAGACCATAGAGCAGGAAGTGACTGATGGGGGGGTCGGCCTGAAGGGGGATTGAGACCATAGAGCAGGAAATGACTGATGAGGGGGTCGGCCTGAGGGGGGATGGAGACCATAGAGCAGGAAATGACTGATGGGGTGGGGGGGTCAGCCTGAGGAGGGGATGGAGACATACAGCAGGAAGTGACTGATGGGGTCGGCCTGAGGGGGGGATGGAGACCATAGAGCAGGAAATGACTGATGCGGGGGTCGGCCTGAGGGGGGGATGGAGACCATAGAGCAGGAAATGACTGATGCGGGGGTCGGCCTGAGGGGGGATGGAGACCATAGAGCAGGAAGTGACTGATGGGTCTGCCTGAGGGGTGGGGTGAAGACGGAGGTGGAGGAGTGAGTGAGACAAACAGACCCAGGAGGCTTCTCCAGCAGCCCAGGAGACAGGCAGCGAGGACCCAAGGGAATGCTAGTGGAAACAGGAAGGAAGAACTGACCCAGCAGAGGAAACCAGCAACAGCCTGGGGCGTGGGGACTTTGTCCTCAGAGAGATCTGGGTCCAAATCCCACCCTCCCTGCCTGTTAGCTGGGTGACATTGACCAAGGTGCTTAACCTCTCTGAGCTTCAGTTGCCTCAACCGGATATGAGACAATTTAGGATCTATTTTCCAGGGTGGTTGTGAGGATCAGGGAAGTTAATGAATGTAAAGGGCTTGATTAGGGGTCTGCCAGCTGTCATGTTGATCTTGAGCTGTAATATTAGCAGTACTGGGTGACTCAGTAGGTGGGGGAGGGGTGGAGGAGCTGGAGGAGTCACAGACAAAAGTAAAATCATTAACAAAGAGGAGGAGCAGGCTTGGGCAGCTTGGAAACTTGACGTGTTGGTTGTGGTTAGGGTGAGTCAGGGACCCGTGGGACATTCAGGTGGAAGCGAGACAGGAGATGGGATGAGGAGAGAGAGCCGTGACTCCCAAGGAGAACTGAGGGGCCACTGGTGCGGAGGCGATCTTGGGGATGTTACAGGAAAGTTGCTGTCACCCAACCAGCGGGCATGCCTCCGTGAGTTTATTCAGAACATTGGCTGAGGATTCCAGATGGCAACTAGGTCCACCACTCTCAACACTCATTAAAGCTGTAATCCAGGGGCTGTGCACTTTCACAGGTCATGTTTCATTAAACTTTTTTGGATAGTAGCGTCAAATGTCATTGTTTTATTTTTAGGTAGAGAAAGGGCTGTATGCATTTTAAGTCATGGGATATTGTCCGTTATGAATCAAACACAAAACGGCTGCAAAATTCACAAACATGAAGAAGATGAGGACACCTAAGAGTTAAGTGTACTTTGAGAGGAGCAGGATTAGGCCAGGACATTGGGGGCCACTTGTATCTGGGGGCAGGTGAAAGAAAGGTGTCAGGGAAGATGCAGGAGATGCCTGGGTATCACTAATGCTGAGGGAGAGGTGAGCCTCAAGGAGTACTGGCAGTACTCATATCGTAGCGAGCCTGAGGAGAGTGAAGACTGGGGGTGAGGTCCTTGGTGTACCACCCTGGAGACCCTGGAGACTGCGTGGTCAGGACAGCTGAGGGCTGGGACCCAGTGTGGTATGGAAGGGAGATGGAGAGGATAGAGCGCGCGCGCGCGCGTGTGTGTGTGTGTGTGTGTGTGCGTGCTCTGTCACCCAGGCTGGAGTGCCGTGGCATGATCCGGCTCATTGCAACCTCTGCCTCCTGGGTTCAAGAGATTTTCCTGCCTCAGCCTCCCGAGTAGCTGGGACTACAGGTGCCCGCCACCACACCCGGCTAATCTTTGTATTACAGGATAGAGTTCTTGGAAGCCTGGCGTGGAGGGAGGGAGAGCAGGTAGCACAGTTACAGAAGGATCTTCGGGATATGGAAATGCGGTATTTGTGGACACTCATTCATCTAACACACATTTGTTGAGCTCCTAATGTGTATAGAACTGAAGGGATGGAGTCATGGGCAGTGGAAAAGCTGAAATTGTGTAAAAGAGAGAGAAGGATCAGTGGCTATGGTCTCGAAGATGACGTGGAAGTGTCAGCCATGACGGGTGGGGAGTGGCCTGCTGCTCCTCCTGGGAAGAGAAGAAGGTGAAGACTCAGGGCGCGTCTGCAGGGAGACAGTGGGAGCTGTGGGGTCGTGGATGACGCTGATCCTGTCATTAGCATCTGAGCGAGGTCACAGGTGAGACCTAGAGCAGGGAGACACCCGCAAGGCTTTGGTGGAGAGTGGGAGTGAGCTCTTCATGGACACTCTGTTAACCAGCAATTTCCTTTCCCTAATAAATGCCCTTAATTCTCCATAATTGAAGGAGAAGGCACCAGAGGGCAGTGAATGAAGCTTTAATTTGGGTAACACGGAAGGAAAGCAGCTAGAGACCAATTACTCTGTCATTTACACAAACTCATTTCCATGATTAACTTGGAAAATAAAGCAGCGCCGAGTTCCCACAGGCAGGGGAGGGCCCCAGGATGGGAGCTCTGCTCTGAGGCTGTGCCTTGGGAAGGAGCACGGGGCTATCGGCCCGGGAGACCAAACACTGAGGGTTTCCACAACAAAGAGGCAGGGCCCAGCTCTGTCCTGAGGCTCTGACCCATCCAGCCTTTGCACCCCAACAAACTGAACTCAGAGAGGTCCCTGCAAAACACAGCTGCCTCCTCGTGCCCACCTCCCCTGTGATTTCCCTGGCTTCTGGCAAGAGAAGAGAAGACGTGAGCAAAAGCTCAAGGGCAGAGATGAGTAAACAGGAACGGGGCGTGAAACTCAAACTCAGGGTGTGGGGATGGGATGGGGTGGAGTGGAGTGGAAGTGGGAATTTGAGGTGAGGTGAGACTGAAGGCCGGGGGACACGGCAGGCTGGGTCATGATGGGCCCAGAGACTCGAGCCAGGCAGATGTGACGTGAGGACTGGACATTCTAGACGCAAGGGAGGGCTGCAGTCAGCACTTTAGGCCTCTTTACCTCCTGTCGTTCCTGAGTGACTCTAGAAAGTTTCTTGAGAGCACTGGGCGAGAGGCTGGGAAGTCACAGGAAAGAAGCAGAGAGGAGGCTGGCCTGCAGGCTGATGGGCAATGTCTGGGCCAAGCCCATGTGGTAAATGCACATCTATCCCTCTCCTGTCCAGGCATGTGGGGCCTCGTTAACAATGCCGGCATCTCAACGTTCGGGGAGGTGGAGTTCACCAGCCTGGAGACCTACAAGCAGGTGGCAGAAGTGAACCTTTGGGGCACAGTGCGGATGACGAAATCCTTTCTCCCCCTCATCCGAAGGGCCAAAGGTGAGTGGGAAAGGGAGCTCCCTCCTGCCCCTGAACCTGCCCCACGTGTTCATCTTTGCTCAGAATGGAAATACCTGTCCCAGCAGCTCCAATGTCCACAACTCAGCAGAGGTGAGCTCGTGAATCCCAGGGACTATGCTGGGCCTGGGGTGATGGTGGGCAGAGGGGCTGTGGCCGGGTAGGGGAGGAGGAAGCAGAGCAGGTAAGAGGTCAGTGGTCCATGCAGCAAAAGCTTAAAGAGTTGAGCAGCCATCCACTCTGCACACCTAATCTATAGAGAGAATCACCCTTTGCACAAAGCTGTGTGTACACATCTTTGTATCAGTCAGGTGTGGTTAGTAAAATCTGGCATATTCATTCTATGGGTTATTTATATCGTAGTTTAAAAAATGAGATCATTGTGGTATTAGGGAACAATAGTAAAAATCAAGATTAGAAATTTGGAAAACCAACAAAACACCCAAACCATGTGGGTGGCCAAATGTGAGCAAACCACTTTAGAAGTCATTGACTTGGATTTTTTTCTCTGGCATAGCAAACAATTGTGGCAAAAAGGGTAAGATCCATACATCTATGGTGAAGTCCTAGCAACAACAAGCATGAACACAGACTGCAGCTGTAGGATTTTAGATGGAAACCCCAACCCTTCAGTGACTTCAAATTTAGAGCTTTCTGAAAGGTGCCTCCCCCAGGATGGGCTGAGTTCCCTCCCGGGGACACACCTGGATGGGCTGAGTGCCCTCCCGGGGACACACCTGGATGGGCTGAGTGCCCTCCCGGGGGCACACCTGGATGGGCTGAGTGCCCTCCCGGGGGCACACCTGGATGGGCTGAGGGCCCTCCCGGGGGCACACCTGGATGGGCTGAGTGCCCTCCCGGGGGCACACCTGGATGGGCTGAGTGCCCTCCCGGGGACACACCTGGATGGGCTGAGTGCCCTCCCCGGGACACACCTGGATGGGCTGAGTTCCCTCCCAGGAAAACTGGTCCCAGATCCGCCTCGGCTTCCCGGGCTGGGCCAAATGCAATCCACTTCCAACCCCTCTGTTCCCAGGGCCAGGAGGAGCTGTGGGAGGCCCCTGATGCCCCCAGGCTGGGCCTGTGGCCTTTGGAGGGGGATCACCACACTCTCCCAGTGCCCAGGACTCTCTCCTCATATCCTAGCCCTGAAGTCAGGTTCAGAAATCCTGCCCCTGCCCCTGCCTGCTGCTCTGTTTGCCAGGCGGTCCTGGTCTCCACCCAGGCTCCACCCTACCAGGGTGGAATGGAGTTGGGGAGTTGGGCCTAACAGCACGGGTCCTGTCCTCTTTCAGGGCTGTCCCGGGGCTCCCTCCCAGCTGCAGCCCCAGGTACTTCCTCGTCTGCACTCCAACCCCCATCGCCAGGGCTGCTGTCAGTGGCTAGACACTTGGCCCTAGTGTGCTACTTATCTGCACGTCGTACTACTGGAGCTGGACTTTAAGCTCCATAAGGGGAAGGGGAAGCTTTCAGGCTGTATTTCTCCCTCACCAGCACCAGACCTTGCCTATAGTGAAAGCTCAGATCCACACAGACAGCTGTCTCGCCTCCCACTTCTCCCCTCGTGTTTTCACCCCAAATTATCACCGCATCGGGCTTGATCTGGTTTTTGAGTCAGTTGCGTGTTGCCCATTACACTGTGCCCTGCTGCTTCTCACTCACTTGTCCTCCCCTGTCCTGCCTGGCACAGCCAGGTTCCCAGGGAAGACCAGGGGTGCCGATGCTGATGCGTGGGCCTGAGCTGGCCTTGCCTATTGACTGAGAAGGCTCCTGGGTGGCTCAGAAGTGGTTCCAGCCAAGCCTCTAGAGACATGCCAGACTTCTGCCCGCTGTGTCATAGGGCAGTAACGGCTTAGCAGGTACCTCTGTCTCCCTCTGTAGGCCGCGTCGTCAATATCAGCAGCATGCTGGGCCGCATGGCCAACCCGGCCCGCTCCCCGTACTGCATCACCAAGTTCGGGGTAGAGGCTTTCTCGGACTGCCTGCGCTATGAGATGTACCCCCTGGGCGTGAAGGTCAGCGTGGTGGAGCCCGGCAACTTCATCGCTGCCACCAGCCTTTACAGCCCTGAGAGCATTCAGGCCATCGCCAAGAAGATGTGGGAGGAGCTGCCTGAGGTCGTGCGCAAGGACTACGGCAAGAAGTACTTTGATGAAAAGATCGCCAAGATGGAGACCTACTGCAGCAGTGGCTCCACAGACACGTCCCCTGTCATCGATGCTGTCACACACGCCCTGACCGCCACCACCCCCTACACCCGCTACCACCCCATGGACTACTACTGGTGGCTGCGAATGCAGATCATGACCCACTTGCCTGGAGCCATCTCCGACATGATCTACATCCGCTGAAGAGTCTCGCTGTGGCCTCTGTCAGGGATCCCTGGTGGAAGGGGAGGGGAGGGAGGAACCCATATAGTCAACTCTTGATTATCCACGTGTGGATTATCCACCATGCCAGGAAGACCCATAACTGGTTTTAACACTAACTAGAGGGAATGACTTCTTTGCATAGTGAGTGACTTGGGCCTTCACAAACAGGGTGTGGAGTGGCAGGCAGAGGCCTCTAAATCTCAGGGCAAACATGGTGAATCTATCTCTCCGGAGATAATTTCATACAGAGATTTTAAGAAAACATCTTTATATTAAAAACAGATCTCATTTGATCCTTAAGCCAGTCTCATGAATGAAAAGGACAGGTTTTTTTCTTTTGTAAATGAAGCATTTGCAGCTTAAAGAGGATGCATGAAATAACCCTTTTATCGCTTATAAATAGTGCCAGTTATGTGTTCCTGCCACGGCTGTGGAAATACTTCACATTTGCATTCCAGGACTGTTTTGGATCCATTTGCCCGAGAATCTTCTGACTAACTCTGTGTCCTCATCTGGGCAGCACACACCAAGTGCCCACTGGTACCTCTGCATGTCCATGGTGCTGTGTGACTGGCCAGCCAGCAGCCAGTGACTCAGAGCTGGCTGTATGGAGGGGGTGGGAATGTTTCTGGAGATTTTTGTTTTTCCAGACACAGTCTTGCTCAGTCCCCTAGGCTGGAGTGCAATGGCACCATCTCCGCTCACTGCAACCTCCGCCTCCCTGGTTCAAGCGGTTCTCCTGCCTCAGCCTTCCAAGTAGCTGGGGTTATAGGCACCCACCACCATGCCGGGCTAATTTTTGTATTTTTAGTAGAGATGGGGTTTCACCATGTTGGCTAGGCTGGTCCCGAACTCCCGACTTCAAGTGATCCGCCTGCCTTGGCCTCCCAAAGTGCTGGGATTACAGGCATGAGATTTTTACTTGAGATTTTTCCATCCTCTTTTAGGACTCAGGATAGACTTGTGTGGAGGTGCTCTCTGGCTAAGGGGATAAGTTGTTACTGGTTTGGGTCTGCTTGGTTTTGCCTTGGGTGGGGCCGGTGTCGATGGGGCAGGCTTGGCACGAGCAGTGGTGCCATGGCAGGGCACTGTGGCATCTCCCCTAGCAGTGGATTTGGGGTCCCTGCTTGCCTCACGTGGTGCTTACACACATGTACACACACACACACACACACACACACACACACACCTTACACACATGTACACACACACACACACACACACACACACACACACACACACACACACACACACACACACACACACACACACACCCCTGTTCTGCAGGGCTTCAGCGTGGCCTTCATTCCCGCCTCGCCTCGGCCTCTTTTCAATTAAGAAGTGATGCCACTTGAGGCAGGGTCTGCATGATCACTTCTTGGGTTTCAGTTTGAAAGCTGCCATCCCTGCGACTGCCCAGGGCCTGTATGTTGGGACCGAAGCCAAACACCACTGTCCTCCAGGGGGCTTTCGGCCCGGGGCAGGGTCCCCAGTGCCCGCCTTCGAATCAGACTCCGCGTTTCCGCCTCTCCCTGGGCGGACCTGCCGCTAGAGGGCGCTCCTCCTCCGCAGCCGGCGCCGGCCTCCAGCGCCCCAGACTCCCGCGCTGCCGCCCGAGCCTGAGGTTTCTCACGGCGTTCGGGATTCGCGCTTCGGAAACCGGGAACAAAGAAGCAAGCAGCACCCTTCAGAAACAGTGTTCTCGCTCTCCTAGCAGCTGGCCCGGGCCCGGAGGCTGGTGCCAGGAGAAGGCAGAAGAGCCCGGGCAGCCGGAGTGGGCTACGGGGTTCAGGCAGTGCCAAGGAAGAAGGGCCTCACAATGGGCAATTCAGCTGCCTCCCGGGCCGTTGTCCCCGCTGTCTTCAAACAGGGGTCCCCTGTCCCAGCTGCCCCAGGAGGAGGGGGGGAGGCAGGCAGGGCCGAAACCCTCCAGAGCCCAGAGGGGGACGCTTGGTGGCCGCTGCAGTTACATAACCATAGGATGCTTTTGTACCGTGGACCTTGTTCTAGCAGGATCCTTTCGGAATTGCACTTTTACATGTTGGGCGAATTTGTGTCCGTGCTGAAGTTTATTAAAGGAAAATAGATGGAGCCTTGGAGTTGCACGTGTGCGTCCCTGCCTGGGAACTAGAGGAAGGAGGGCCACATACTCTGGGTCCCCATCAGCAGACCCGAACGTCAGAGAAGCTGCATGTGCGTCTACTGGGATCTTCTGAGTAAGCTAGAACTGCTGGGCCGGCCTGTGCAGGTTGTTCTGGCTTTTAATCGTTTCCAGTGATTGAAAAGCCCAGGCTACCATCCCTCCAAATAACTCCAGTGCTAACTCAAACCTCATATTCACCATTCACTTTCCGGCAGCTTAGAACCTACCGGGGCGCAGGACGTAGTTTTCGTCTTTACCAGAGTGCGTGGCCGGGCGCGGTGGCTCACACCTGTCATCCCAGCATTTTGGGAGGCCCAGGCGGTCGGATCGCCTGAGGTCAGGAGTTCAAGACCAGCCTGGCCAACGTGGTGAAACCCTGTCTCTACTAAAAGCACAAAAATTAGCCAGGCGTGGTGGTGGGCGCCTGTAACCCCAGCTACTCGGGAGGGTGAGGCAGGGAGAATCGACTGAACCCAGAGGCAGAGGTTGTAGTGAGCCGAGATCATGCCACTGCACTCCAGCCTGGGCAACAGAGTGAGGCTCTGTCTCAAAAAACAAAACAACAACAACAAAACAAAAAAAGAGTGAGAGGACAAAACAGGTGTATATTCCCATTTTATAGATGACATAACTGAGGCCCAAAGAAGGAAAGTGACTCACTCAGTGTCACAGTAAATCCACGGCAGGACCAGGGCCAGAACAAAAGTCTCCTGAGTGGCACTCTTCACTATCACATAACACTGTGGCTCGCAACAGCCCTGGAAGCAAAGCCAGTTGGGGTCACCAGGCACCTAGACCCTCACTGCTTGTCTGCTGGCAGAGAGCCGCTCCTTCTTGTCAGAGTAAGTAGGAAGGAGGCCTTTGCCTGTGCGGACCTATGGTCTGGTGACTCCAGCCAGCACAAACCCATCCCCTGATGGTTGGAGGCTGGGCAAGGGCTTCTTGCAAGATGCGCCTGACAGTGCCTTGTTACAGAGCACCTGCTGTGCTTAGCATTCCACCCGGGGCCAAGAGGCTGTGTGAGCAGGTGACAGCCAGCCTGGCCCCGCCTGTCACAAGCTGCTAGGTCTGCACCCTTGCCACCCATGGCAGGGGGTCTGACAAAGACTCCCCATTTGTGAGGTCTGTTCACTGCCTGTATTTCGAACAGGGCCTGGCTCTGCAAACCTGTGCAAACTGTGTTGATATAGGAGCCGACATGAGCAAGCAGAGGCTCCCCTGGCTCAGGCAGCCCCAGGTTGGGTTGGCCAGACAGCAACCAGGCACAGGGGCCAAGTGCAGGTCCTGCTACCCAGCCACCACAGCTTCCTCTCACCTGATTCTCACAGCAACCCAGGCAGGATAGGCAGGGTGGGGTTATCTTATTTTGCAGAAACAGGCTTTCCCAAGTCTGTCACCAAGTGAGGGGTAGAGCTGGGTGTCCAGCCAGATCTAACCTCCAGCCCAGAGCTGGTGATGCGGAAAATCAGGGCAGATGGCAGCAGGATCTAAAATAGGGAGGGAAGAAGTCCTCAGTTACGTAACAGCGAGGAGACTCTCAGCCTACGCACAGTAGCAACCATGGGGTCCTGCCACTCGAGCCAGACCCTCCTTCCCTTCCCGTTTTGGGCTCTAAGTGCTGCCCCCTGTGAGAGAATGTGCTGGAGGAGCCCCCAGTATCCTTCCAGCGGGAAGTCGGCTCTGTCAAGGCCATTCCCGAGAGCAGGCTCTAGGAATTCAAAGACCAAGCAGGCAGAGCTGGATTCTGGAGCTGCCCTCAAAGGGCTTGAGGGTTATATGAGCGCCGTGCTTGAGAAGTTAGTGATGATTTCTGCTCAAAGAGACAGAGCAAGAGGGCTGAGGGGCTCTGGTGCTCTGGGGGAGATGAAACAACCCCACAGTATATGAGGCCTCTCTGGTGTGTGCGGGCACTAAGGAAGGGTGACTTGCGAGTGGCGCATTCGGAGGCACGGGGTGGGCAGCTGTTGAGCAAGGGACCAGGGCTGGGACAGGCTGCCAGGACCCCCACAACCCCAGGGGAGGAAAGGGGACTCAGCCATCATCATGCCTGACTCCCAGGCTCCCGGATGAGGAGCCTGCTAGCCAGGGCTTGAAGCCCTCCAGTGACAGGGGGTGCATTACTTCCTAAGAAGCCATTTCCTTGGTTCAGAAACGTTTATCCAAAGACTGAGCCGAAATCTACCACCTCACTTAATGTTTTTGGCACCTGGTTATGACCCAGACCTGCACAGAATAATTTAACTCTTCTGAAATAGACTTCCAGATATTTGGAAGTGGCCAAGTCAGGTTTAAGAGCTCAGGTCTCCCATTTGACAAGATTTCCATCTCCTCGCTGTCTGAACAGGTTTCAGCTGTGGTTATCCAATCCCTCATTCTTGATGACACACACCAGGCTGAATGGTCTTTAGAGTTCCCCTCAAGCCGCCAAGCGCTCTGAGACAGGTTTACTAGCTTTGGTGAGATGCTGACACTCCTCACATGCACGTGCCCCTCCCAACTACTCAAGTGAGTTCGTGGCAAATCTCTCATCTGATCTGCATAAACGGATTATATCTTAGGCGGTGCCATTGTCTGCATTTTACAAATAAGGAAACTGAGCCTCAGGGAGGTGAAGTCATTTGCCCAAAATCACAGAGCCAGGAAACGAGAGAGCCAAGATCCAGACCCCGCAAGATCCAGACCCCACAAGATCCAGACCCCGCAAGATCCAGACCCCTCAAGATATAGACCCTGCAAGATCCAGACCTCACAAGATCCAGACCCCACAAGATCCAGACCTCGGCTATCTGGCTTCTCTTTTTTTTGCGACAGAGTCTCAATCTGTCACCCAGGCTGGAGCGCAGTGGTGTGATCTCAGCTCACTGCAACCTCTGCCTCCCAGGTTCAAGCAATTCTCCTGCCTCAGCCTCCCGAGTAGCTGGGATCACAGGTGTGCGCCATGCCTGGCTAAATTTTTTTTTTTTTTTTTGTATTTTTAGTAGAGATGGGGTTTCGCTATGTTGGCCAAGCTGGTCTCGAACCCCTGACCTCAGGTGATCCACCTGCCTCGACCTCTCAGAGTGCTGGGATTACAGGCGTGAGCCACTGCACCCAGCCCCATCTGACTTCTATACCCGCAGCCCCTTCCTTTACCCTCAGGCTGCCTCAGTCTCCACACTGGGGCCCAGAGCTGGGCTGGACTCAGCGCAGTCAGAACCTCGCCTTGCACGTGGCGAAGGAGCGGCAGGCAGGCAGGCAGGCAGGCAGGCAAGCAGGACAGCCAGCTTCCTCCTAGTCCGCAGTTTCGCGGAGCAGCCTGGAAAGGGAGGCCCAGGCTTCCCTGTCTCGTCGCACGTGTGTCTGCAGTGTCTGTGCTATCTCCCAGGGGCCTGGATGTCGATGGAATGCCTGAGGGTGGAGAGAGCTGTGGCTGAGGCCTACCCTGGCGGCCTCAGCATCTGTGGAGATGTGTAGAGACAGGGAGAGTGAATGGGGACCAACCTCAGGAGATGCTGGGTCCCAGAAGCACCATGTGCTTCTCCTTTGGTGAGACTTAATTACTCTCTAAAATGTAAGGCTACTCCCACTTATCAAATTATAGATGAGTTTAATTACAGCACACTGAGTAACCACACTGGGCTCCTTCAGAAATAGCAGCAGGCTGGTTGCTCTTCTCAGCTTCAGCTGTAGCCACCCCAGTTTCAGGAGGAAGTGCCCGTGGTTCCTGGGGCCTGGAAGTGCCGCTCAACTCTGCTGCCAGACAAGTGCGGGCGTGGTGGACTGCACTGGGTACACTGCTGTACCGGCCACCACCCTCCGGCCACTCTCAGCCGGTGAGTGCTCTGCGGGGCCATCTGGCCACGTGTTCTGTGACTGGGTCATTTACTCTGCTGCAACCTCTCTTTCTCCTACCTACATCGTGTTCTGGATAAAGGTTTTGGCTCATAATGTCCGACCAGAGGTGGACAAAGTGGTGTGGGACCTGCCGTAAGAAACAGGGAGCATGGTGCGGGGAGAGAAGCCTGTGCCTTATGGAGACTCGGGGCACCTTCAGGAAGCAGGGTCAACAGCAGCAGGCCGCTAGGGAGTCGGGAGAGCTCGGTGATGTCACGAGGGGCATCAGACTCTTCCCTGCAGGCTGGCGGGACTGATGGGCTCTCGTTCCAATGGAGGTACAATGGGACTTCCGGGGCTGTGATGGGAAGGGCGGAGGAGCTGCCGATGGTCCCAGTGCCATATTAGTGTCACATTCTGAGGGGCAGCCCTGTGCCGGACGGCAGCTGCTACCTCTCCCTCTGCCCCTTTATTACTTGAATCTCTTCGTTGTGCCCTGTCTAGGCACGGTCGTCCGACAGCAGGCAGCCCACTGCCCTCCCAGAGCTCACTGTCTAGCCCAGGGTGACACAGGGTAACCGTGGGCATGACTTGGGCCGGGAAGTGAGAGGCTCGATTCCATCACATGTAAATAAAAATACTCATTTTCAATCTAACACAGTCTGTCTTCTTCCCCGCACAGCCTTGGAGCCCCTCATGGACAGCTGATGCGAGAGGTGTGAGTGGGCAGGGGTCTCTCCTTACTTAGGGAGTCCCATGACTTTGTCAAAGGAATAATAAAATATAAGGGCCCCTGGAAACCCAGAGGCCAACAACCTGAGGCTGCCAAGCAGGCGGTGCTGGGACTGCTTGGAGAATAACCAGGCAGGGGGCTCTGGATATGTGGGACTGGGCACGTGGTGTGGAGGCTGAGGGCAGAACCGGACAAGAGGCTTAGGCTGCACCCAGATGTGGAAGAGCGCACACCACTGCCAGCACCACGACAAGCTGGAGTTTTCAGCCCTAGGGCTTATTTTCTGTGCGGTTAAGTGTACGACGAAAGAAAACAGCAGAACATTAAAAAGAGATAGATAGGCTCTCGGGTTACTGCAGCAGAGAAAGAAACAGCACATCTGGAGGGTCCGCGCTTCTCCTGCCCTCGCCCCCCGAGGCCCTCCAATTCCCTCCCCTTCCCCGCCTCCTCTGGCCATGCAGCTGGCAAACCCCTCCCCGCTGCTATGTGCTTAGTGACAGTGGGGCCTTGGTCACTGAGGGTTAGTGACAGAGCTGTGTGTCTGGCTTTAGTGCCTGCTGGTCCTCTCCTCGCCTGTGTGGATTTACCTAGGTGGTCCCTGAGAAAGAGAGCCCACAGGTGATGCCCTGTTAGAGGTGAAAGAGACCTCAGAGACCCTGCAGACGGAGGGATGGGGACAGACGCAGGCCTTGCTGGCAACTGTGTTCTGGGTGAGGTCAGTTAGAAAGAACAGAAGTTTTGGAGCCAGATGCACCTAACTTTGATCCTGCTCTGCAACTTCCTGGTTGCATAATGCTGCCAAGTTATCTACTTTCTCTGAGCCTTAGTTTCTTTTTTTGGGCGGGGTGGGGAGGGTCACTAACACTAACACTGGGGCTGCTGCCAGCGAGCATTGCAAACCTCGATGTCTTTTTGTCTGTGATGGGGATAACCGTCTGTACTTTGCAGAGTTGTTGTGTAGATAGGTGAGTGGGTAAGCTCTCCAGCCCAGCGCCTGGCACAACGCGGGGACTCAGTAGGTGCCCCGGCTGCTGCAGTCACCGCCTAAAAAATTCTTTCCCGTCCCCACCCCAGCCTTTCTGAGAAATGCAGACACTGTAGCCCAAGGGTGTTCTAGAGGCACAGACAGAAATGGGGACCCACTCAGGGTTGAACCACAGCAGCCAGAGCCCACTTTCAGGCTCATCCTAGAGGCCTAGGGCAGAGGAGGGCACTGCCTTCTGCAGGCCCCCTTCCTGACTGCTAAGTGCAGAACAGACTCCACAGCCCTGCATCACCACCTGACTGGAAATCCCTGAAGATTTCCTGAGTGGATTAAGAAATTATTCGCCAGAAGGCCTTAAGCCTAAAAGCCTAGACAAGTCCATCCTAGACAAAGAAGGGGTTTTTTGTTTTTCTTTTTTCTGGAATACAAACCCTCAAAATCATCCAGGAGGATCAGCCCATTCATTCATTCAGCTTAGGGGAGGGGAATGGACCAGTTCTTCCTGCCCTGGTTATCTGTGTTTGGGATCTTCATTTATTTATTTTGAGACGGAGTCTTGTTCTTGTTGCCCAGGCTGGAGTGCAGTGGCACGATCTCTGCTCACTGCAAGCTCCACCTCCTGGGTTCAAGCAATTCTCTGCCTCAGCCTCCCAAGTAGCTGGGATTACAGGTGCCTGCCACCATGCCTGGCTAATTTTTTGTATTTTTAGTAGAGACGACGTTTCACCATCTTGATCAGGCTGGTCTTGAACTCCTGACCTCGTGAACCACCCGCCTCGGCCTCCCAAAGTGCTGGGATTACAGGTGTGAGCCACCGCGCCCGGCCTGGACTCTTTCTGTTAGCACTCAGTTTGTCCTACCCAGGCCCTGGCTTCCTGTGTTTTCTCTTTAAGCATTCAGGGTTGAGAGTGATCTATAATCAGGCTGCAGGATATCTATGGTAAGATTTGATTCCCAGCCTGAAGGAGTTCCCAGTCCTGTGGGGCTGAGGGCGTGAGGGGGTGGAGCAGATAGGACGCACCAACCTGGAGAGCTGTCACTCAGGACAGCCTGGGCTATAGTGGATGTATGAGCAAAGTTCATGGCAGCCCAGGAAGGAGCAGGAAATTCTCACTGGGGAGGTAACGGATGCTCCCTAAAGGAGGTTGTGTTTCAGCTGGGACTTGACAAGTGAAGAGGGTTTTGACAGATAGAAACAGGAGGTGGGGCACCTGACGGGACATTTCCCAGCTAGCAGAGCAGGATGAGAATGGCTTAGCACCTCAGGGGGATGGACTCTGAAAGGAAAGTGGATAATTTGGGGAGGCTTGAAGAACTCCAGCCCCTGGGAAGAAAGGGCTGTTAGGAGTGCCCCATCCCCCAGGACATTGTTCAGACAGCTCTGTCCTGTCAGAACCAGATCACTCTAAGCTGGACTGTGAAAGCCGTCCAGCCCCTTGGATCCTAAACGCACCGCACATGAATCTCCTGGGAAACTGGTTCAAAAACAGAACCAGTAAGTCTTGAGTGGAGCCCAGGAAACTTATATCTAAAAAGCGACTCAAGGCACAGCAAGGAAAAGGGGGGTCAGAGAAGACGGGGATGCTGCATCCCGAGTTAGTGACAGACCTGGGGCTAGGCCTGGGAGAGGGAGAGCTGGAGCACCTGTGGCTGTGGTTTTTTCTGTCCCCTGGTGGCTACTAGGAGTGAAACTCCGGGAGCAGAAAGGGCCGGAGGGCTTGTTTCAGAAGTGCCAGTGTGGGGAGATGCAGGCAAGTTTTCCTCCCCTTCTCAGAGACATCAGGACAGAGAGGAGACAGGTGTGCTGGGAGCCTGGCAAAGGCCAGATGGCCTGCTCGAGTGTTCTCATTAACAGGATGAAGAAGGGCGGAGCCCCCAGTGCAGATCCTTCCAGTTAGGCACTTGGATTGTGGCACTGGCTGGTGGCCCGGCCTTCCCACAATTTGTAGTTGTGTGTCCTGCAGTGGGCGACTCCACCAGGCTGTGCCAAGCCTGCCAGCTTGCTGTGCCCTCTGCCCCTCGGAGCTGCAGCTTTGCTCACTGTCCTCTCCTTGGCCAGGAGGGGGCAGTCAGCTGCCTCTCTAGTATCCCTCCTGCCTTTAGTGTTGAGGCTGGGACGCGTCAGGGAGGTGATTAAACAGGGCAGGGCTTTCTCAGACCCATGGCAAGAGGCCTAAGTTTCGGTTCCAGTTCCATGTTCTCAGTTGCAGACTGAGCCACTGGGGGTGGCTGAGGAGAAGCAGCATGCCCCCATCCCGGTTTTCTAGTGCTCAGGTACTTGGCTTCCAGGTGCCTAGCTAGCCTAGACAAGCTGGGACTTGGGGGCAGAGATTGCTGCATGTTCCTGATAATTCATTTTCCCCTTCTATAGGGATAGATCCACCAATGTTCAGCTGAGCACATGGCTGCCATAATAAAGACTACATTTCCCCAGATTCCCTTGCAGCTAGGGGGTAGTCATGTGACTATGTTCTGGCCAATGGGATGTAAGCAGAAATGGTGGTACAACAGTTTCCAGGAACCTTCCTTAAGGGGAGCTTATATGCATCTCCTTTGGCTCCTTCGGCACTTCATCCTGCAGCCTGGAACTTGGGATGCTGCCATCTTGGGCCATAAAGTCAAGATATTTATGACATTGCAACAAGATAGTGTTTGGATCCCAGACACTGGGGAACCACATTCCACCTTTGACCCCTCATTCAGATTTTATGTGAGAAGAAATAAACTTCCACCTTTTCTGCATTATTACAGTTTTGGAATTATTTCCTTGTATGCAAAGCAAATCCTAACTGAACCCCTAGTCCAGTTGGACAGGAGATGAGGAAGCCATCGCATACACATGGGGGCAGGAAGCCACATCTGATCCTAAGTAATAAGCATTTATTAAGTGCTTCCTACACGCCAGGCCTTGGGTTAAGCATGTTATATGCATTATCCCATTTGATTCTCCCAGTGATACTATAAGGCAAGATTTATAATCCCAATTTTATAGATAACTAAAATGAAGCTTAGGTTTAAATATCTTTCCTAGTTAGAAAGTGACAGGATTCAGAACCAGACTGTCTCTAACTGCTGGGTGCAAGCACTTACTGTTCCTCAGGCAATGAAGAGGGCTCCTGCCATGCTGGCCACAGCCTCCCTGACATCACCTGGGCTATGAAGAGGCAGCTCCTCTTTGATTGAAAGGAGAGATTCATGAGGTTGGGACTGAGCCAAAATTGAACACAAAACAGGCTGAGACAATAGGCAACCAAACTCTCATCCTTATTCTCTGAACAAAATTCTTAAACTTGAAATATTTTAGAGGGCTATTTCTCCTCCTTCTCCTTCTTCTTCTTATTTTTGAGATGGAGTCTTGCTCTGTCACCCAGGGTGGAGTGCAGTGGCCCAATCTCAGCTCACTCTAAACTTTGCCTCCTGGGTTCATGCGATTCTCCTGCCTCAGCCTCCTGAGTAGCTGGGATTACAGGCACGTGCCACCACACTTGGCTATTTTTTTTTTTTTTTGTATTTTTAGTAGAGACAGTGTTTCACCATGTTGGCCAGGTTGGTCTCGAACTCCTGACCTCAGGTGATCTGCCTGCCTCGGCCTCCCAAAGTGTTGGGATTATAGGTGTGAGCCACCATGCCTGGCCTAGTTCTTTTTTTTTTTTTGGAGATGGAGTCTCACTCTGTCACCCAGGCTGGAGTGCAGTGGTGTGATCTCGGTTCAAGAGATTCTCCTGCCTTAGCCTCCCGAGTAGCTGAAATTACAGGTGCCTGCCACCACACCAGGATAATTTTTACATTTTTAGTAGAGACGGGGTTTCACCATGTTGACCAGGCTGGTCTTGAACTCCTGACCTCAGGTGACCCACCTGCCTCGGCCTCCCAAAGTGCTGGGATTACAAGTGTGAGCCACCATGCCTGGCTTAGTTCTTCTTAATGAAAGTGTCCTCTCAGAAGCATCCCCAGTGAGACCACCTCCCGTTTAGTGGCTGAGCTAAGAAGACTCAAGACTCCTCTTCTTCCACCTCCTCCCTCTATCCCCACCTTCCTTTCTCTCTCCCTCTTCCTCCTCTCCTCACTCCTCCTGTTCCTGAGGATCATGGAGGTGGTACCAGAGGCTCCTTACGCAGCATGGCCTACCACCAAGTGGGCTTTTGTTAATCTGTTTAGCTTCAAAGATATCCATGAAGCAGCAACCACTAAATGTCCAAGAAATAATGGATTCCATCTGGGCAGCCAGGAAGCCTTGTTACTATTCCCTCTTCTACTACCAACTGGCCACATCGTCCAGGCAGCAAACGCCTTATCCTTTCTGGGCCTCACTCTCCTCATTGGAAAACAATAGTAATAATAATAACAGCAACATCTAACACATCTTTTTTTTTTTCCTCACAGACAAGGTCTGGCTATGTTGCCTAGACTGGCCTTGAACGCCTGGGCTCCAGCGATCCTCCCACCTCAGCTTCCCAAGGTAGCTGGGACTACAGGCGTAGGCCACCACACCCAGCTCACCAGCAAACAATCTGTTGAGTCATCCAGACTCACTATGTTCTAAACACTTCACAAGCGTTTATTCACTCATCCTTCCCAGGACCCTATGAGGGAGGTACTATTACTATTATGGGTGGGGAACCTGAGACACCGAGGTTTCTAAGTGGCCCAAGGTCATGCGTGCACCACGAAGTCAAAATGAGACTTGAAAGAGGACCTGGCAGCTGTGTTTAGTCACGGCCCTGGGTTAAATGACCTCTCAGGCAAAGTCTCAATGCAGTAAAGACAAAGTGGGGGTGCTTGGGTGGAATGGGGGTGGGGGTCTAAACCCTCGCCCTTCCTCCCCCCACCCGCCCTTAGGGGAGGGGCTCTCCAAGCGCTGCTCCACGTGGAACATTCTGAGAATCCCCCAGGGCCTGGGGCCGCTGGGGTGTGGGAGGGCGGGGAGAGAGCGTGCGCCCTGCACAGTGAGGTCGTGGCGCCCGGCACCTGCCACCTGTGACTGGGATGAAGGGCTCGATCAGAACCTGTCTGCCGGTTTCCCCGTGCGACGATTAACCACCACCCCCTCCATAACCCGTGTGTTTTCCAGGTGAGGAAAATCCCCACCGAGGAGAGCTGGGGCACGCGGGCCTTGCGCTCACCGCGGGCGGGTCGTGCGGCCCCCTTGGCGACACCCCGCGCTCCCCGGGCGCCCGCCCCAGGCCCAGATGCTGCGCGCGGCTCCCCCACTCAGCGGCTCCCTGGGAGCCCCGGCCGCCCCGGCGCCTCCTCCCGGCCCTTCCCGGCCCCGCGGCCTTGCAGCTGGCCGACCCCTCCCCCAGCTCCGCGCTTAGGGACGTGGGGCCCTGGTCGCTGAGGGTGAGTGACGCAGCCGTGCGTCCGGCTGTCCGCCCCCATCGGTCGTCTCCTCGCCTGTGCGGATCGCGCCGCCGTTCATGCACCTGTCCCGAGTGAACGTGGTGGAGGGATCTGGAGGTCTGACTCCTCACTCCCACCCCTGAGCTGTGGGCAGAAAGCCACTTGCAGAGCCCCGCCAAAAAGTCACTCTCTCTGGCTCGAGGCTCATTCAGGTGTCCTATGGCCACCGCTGAGAGACACCTGGGGCCCTCTGTGCGGCTGGGTCAGTCTCCCGCTGGCCACTGGCAAAGCCTGGCCACCAGTGCTCTGGGGAGACTGGAAGGGGGCCAGGGCTGAAGCAGCTGGAAGGAATGTCCATTTGTCCTGTTCTGCTTCACCTGCTTCTGCTTTATTTCAGAAAGGGGCTCAGTGCCTCAGGCACACCTTGAGAAACACCTCCATTTTCAAAGGAGACCATGAGTTTCCTGCTTGCCCAGTAAGATTTGTTTATTGCAACTATGTCAATAAATGGCCCCTATTTACCTATCCGCTAGCCCCTTTGTGAGCCTCCATCCTCTGGCTGTGTAAAAGACCCCTCAATGAAGGAACCTTTCCATTTTTCTCTGAAGCGCACCTGTGCCGAGGGTTAGCTCTGCGTTTGAAGTGGGTTTGCTTGTTTGTTTGTTTGTTTGTTTGTTTTAACCACTGGTTTATTGCCTGGCTTTGGTCACATTCCATCCCCTCTTTGAGCTTCATTTCCCCATCTGTGCCATAAATCAGCGGAACTTCCTAAAGTCCCAGTGATTCTTCAGCAGTATCTAGCCTGGGCATGGTGGCACCGTAGTCCCAGCTATTGAGGAGGCTGTGGTGGGCCCAGGAGTTGGAGGCTGCAGTAAGCTATGATCACACCACTGCACTCCAGCCTGGACCCCAGAGTGAGACCCTGTCTCAAAAAAAAAAAAAAGTATCTGACACGGAAGCGTTCTGCTAAAAATGTTTGAGTTTGAGACCCACTGGCCTAGACGACTTCACACCTGGGCCCAGGAATGTGTCTGCTTAGGTCTCTGAAAACTTTTCTCCGGGTTTCACCACCGTGATGCCCCTGAGTCTGACACGTCTTCTCTCAGAGCCTCTAGGCTGAGCCCAGCACGGCAGAACGGGGTGCATCATGAGGCAAAGGACCTGCCGCCCTGGGACAGCCCAGCTAGAGACGGGAATGAAATTACTCTGCAGAGCTCTCCTGCCTCCTGGAGTGGAGGACATTTCTATTACCATCCCCTCTCGTGGGTCCTCTGTCCAGGCCTCCTCTGTCCTGACTTCTTCTACAAGAGAGTGGAAATCCTTCCAGTGTAACAAGCCCGCCTTCACCTGCTCTCATTCGACACAGCAGCCCTATAGTGGAAGGAGGCACAGGAATTGCTTCCCCGCACTCCCGCCCCACTTTTTTTTTATGGAGATGGAATCTCACTCTGTTGCCAGACTGGAGTGCAGTGGTGCGATCTCGGCTCACTGCAACCTCCGTCTCCTGGGTTCAAGCGATTCTCCTGCCTCAGCCTCTTGAGTAGCTGGGACTACAGGCGTGTGCCACCATGCCTGGCTAATTTTTTGTATTTTTTGTAGAGGCGGAGTTTCACCGTGTTAGCCAGGATGGTCTCCGTTCCTGACCTCGTGATCCGCCTACCTTGGCCTCCAAAAGTGTTGGGATTACAGGCGTGAGCCACCGCGCCCGGCCTCCCCTCTTTTACAGATGAGAAAAAGGCTCAGAGAGATAAAGGGACTTGGACCAGGTGACAAAGCAAGTGTTTTGCAGCATTGTGTGAGCATCCTGGCATCCTCATAACGTAAAGAGAATAGGGACTCCCACCAGCTGGGAGAATGGTTCTGATGTGGTAGGAAGGAAAGAGGGTGACTGAGCTCATCCACTCTCTCAAACCTGCTGCAACAGCCAAAACAGGCATGAAAGGGTGGGGGGTGACTTCCTGGGGTTCCCTGGGGATCCTCTGAGTACTTCCCAGGGCTCCTGAGTCAGGACACTGTAAGAGATGGGGGGAGGGTCCTGGCAGCACCAGGCCAGAGGCAGGAGGGCCCTGATCCAGTGACTTCCCATACCCCACCCTCATCCAGCACACACACACACACAGTTGCCGCCGTGAGTGTCCTCATCCATGGCACCTTCCCTGACACAGGAGCATGAAGAAAATGGGCTGTGTGAGCAGAAGGGCTCTCCCTGCCAGCCAGCCCATAAGGCTCTGACAATCTCCTCCAGCTTTGCTGGCAGCTTCTTAGCTTCCTCTACTGTTTCCAAGATGGGCCCAGCATGTCCTCAGGGGACCCTGGGTGGAAATTAGTATTCTAGTCACACCTCCAGTGTCAGTAATCCCTTCTGCTTGGGCAGTACTTGGGAGTTTTCAAAGTACACTCACATCAGAGGCCGGCAAGGTAGGCAGGACAGACAGCAGACAGCAGGGTTGTCCCTATTTTATAAACTGGACAAAACTGAGACTCAGGGAGTGGGGTGACTTGTCCAAGGTCACAGCACATCACTGGGAGACCCAGAACTGGAACCTGGGCTGAGGGTCCTGCTGTATCCATTTCTGGCTTTGTCTACGGGGTTTCCGGCTCCACTAAGGCCATAGCAGCCTTTCTGGCCAAGATAAGCACTGGGTATCTGTCCCTATTTTCAGCATTTTCCCATGACAGGCAGCCCGTCTTATAAAAGCAAGGAGGGCGGCCAGTGGCTTATGCCTGTAATCTCAGCACTCTGGGAGGCCGAGGCGGGTGGATCATGAGGTCAGCTTGGCCAACATGGTGAAACCCTGTCTCTACTAAAAGTAAAAAAATGAGACAGGCATGGTGGCACACACCTGTAATCCCAGCTACTCAGGAGCCTGAGGCAGGACAGTTGTTGGAACCCTGGAGGCGGAGCTTGCAGTGAGCCGAGCTCATGCCATTGCACTCCAGCCTGGGTGACAGAGCAAGACTCCATCTCAAAAAAAAAAAAAAAAAAAAAAGGAAAGGGACGGGGGGCCCTGTAAGTGAAGAAAAATCATGCAACTGACACTCTCCATGCCCCAGCCGAGCCCGGCCAGCCTAGGAAAGTGGGTGTCAGGAAGCCTGAGGTCAGTGTTCAGCTCAGCAATCAATTCTCTGGGGGGTTTTGGTCAGGAGGAAATTTCTTTTTGAGTCTGTTTCTTCTTCTGTAAGATGAGATGAAGGATGAAAATCACTGTATTTAAACAACTCATATGAGAATCGCTTGAAAAGTTTGTACAAAACCCAGATCCTGGGGCTTCACAGCAGGCCGAGAGGATCAGCTCTGGGCTTGGGGAAATCCATGGGAACCCATGATGTGAAGTAGTCTCCTGGGTGATTCTGAGGCCCACTGACATCTGAGACCCCAAGACTTGATGGTCCCAGGGGCCTTCCCTGCTCTGACATCCGATTATTTGAGGTGTGGGAAGTGTGGTGAGTGCACTCTGGCTCTGATGATTTCCTCCCGTATTTTAGTCTTTGTAGTAGACTCAGGGTCATGGAAGTGGAAAAGTATCTTGAACAGATACTAGAGTGCAGTCTGTTCAGGAAAAGCACAACAAGTACCAGAAGTCCCGGGAGGGGTAGGGTTTGCATTCCCACGAGGCCGTGAGCCAGCTGTGGGTTCTTGGGCCTCCGACTGAAAGGTGCTTCCCAGGCCCCAGTCTGGGGTGTACCAGGTGTCCCACCCACGGACATGTCTCAACAATAGAATGATTTCTCTGCTGTGGCCTCCACCCAAGTCCATCTAAAGACTCTTCCTGGCTCTAGATGGTCACCATCCCCCTGCCGCATTCCTGAGGAGCCCCTAACTTTCAGGCCGCCAAAGTGGCGCCGTCCACTCTCGGAGTGTCTGCATGTGTGGCACCCACGTGCTTGGCTACGTGCAGAAGCCGAACATCACTTCCCTGCTGGCCCCAGACTAAACCAGTCATGGTTCTTGGCTGCAAACAAGAGAAACTCATTTTGGCTGACTTAAGCAGAAAAGGAATTTATTCAAGGATATTGGGTAGCATTGAGACCCACCACAAAGTTCTGGAGAACCAGGTTTGAAAAACAAATCTGGCTGCCTCCCAGAAAGACACATGCCATGGGGATTTCCCAAGACTAAAAAGGGAATGCAGGTGCTGTGCATCCCATGAAATGACAAAGGCCTCTCACATGTGGGTGCGGCAACCTGGAGGAGCCTACACCCCAGAGAAACGTTGGTGATGTTTGCTGTGGCTGTTGCCAACAACTGCATTTTCCTGTTCCTCCCTCCAGGTTTCAAATCCCATATGCATCTGATCTGGGAAGGGCTCTACCAGGAACCACCTCCTTTGCTCCACTCCATTAATCCCTCCTGACACTATAATCACGTTTCCCATGCAACCAGTTGAGCTGCCAGCTGCTGAACTCTGATCCCAGACAAACCCTTTTCCCCTGCACCCTCCACCACTCACACACAAACAACCTATCCCATGTCTCCCTAGCCTGCCCCACTTTCCTGGAAAAGGGACATTTGATCTCCAGAACCATTCACTGGGATCACATTTTTTTCTACAATAATTTTTCTGTCTAATTCAATCAATCAACAAATATTTACCAGGCATCTACTATGTGCCAGTTACTATGCCAGGGGCTGAGGGGTGAAAAAAACCACTGTCTTCATGGAGCTTAGAGTATCATGGGGACACAGAGATTGATCAAAGAATCAAACAATTATCTTATTATCAACTCTCAATACTATGAAAGAAATGATCACAAAACCTTGAATCTTTAGTAGGGAGATCTGATCTTGTCTGGGAAGCTTCCTTGGAAAGGTGACATTTGAGTTCAGATGTGGAGGATGAGTGAGAGTCGGTGGGAGGGAGGGAAAGGGAGGAAGGAAGGTTGGAAGAAAGGAAGGGTGGGCATTCTACGCAGAGAGAAAGCACGAGAAAGGGTTCTGAGTAGAATGAAGCCTGTCTTCTCCGTGAAATCAAAGCAGGGTGGCTGGAGCTCCCACTGGGGGTGAGAGGGATGGTGGTGCTGCCCGAGGCTGGGGAGGTAGGCAGGGGCTAGACCAGCAGGGCATCAGGCACACATGATGGATTTTAGTTTTTACCAAAGAGCAACAAAGAACTGTTAAAAATCATGTCAGGAGAGTTGGGGCCTGCAGTGTGAACAGATCAGAGACAGCAAAAGTGGATGAGGGGGCCTGTAAGCAGTCCAGGTGAGAGTTAATAAATACTGTCTTGGACTAGTGGCTGTATAATAGAGTCAAGAGAGCAGAGTCAAGACCTAGTTTGGAAGTGAAATTGACAGGACTTGGTGACAGGCAGAATATGGAGTGAGGTAGGGGTGAGGGAGACTGTGTGTCTAAGGTGACTCTGAGGTTTGTGGTGGATGGTGTTAGAGGAACACTCATTCCCCACTCCTCATGTTTCCTGGTGGAGGGTCTTCTGTTAGCGTAACAGCCCCTCGCTCCTTATATGATGGTGTATTAGGGAGGAGGAACTGGACTGGGGTGGCTCAGTGCCTTTTGGGTTTTCAGATCACCCCTGCCTGCCACAGACAGATGTGATCTCTCTGCTCTCTGGGCCACACAGTGAGCTTGGTGGGGCCGGCTGTATCCACCCCACACCCCTCAGAAGCCTGCAATGTGGGAGGCAGTGTCAGCTAAGGAGGGCGTAGCCAGTCTGATCAGGACCTGGAAACAGAAAAGAGGTGTCATTTTCTAGACCCTCCCAGCACTTAGAGGAGTTATTTACTAAGACAGGGAACACGGGAGGAAAAGCAGGGTTTGAGAGAGAAAAACCATGAATTCAACTTTGGAACCCTTTTCTGGCCACTTTGATATCTTAACTTTGGCTTAAATATCCCATGAAATCAGTACGTTTGCCCATGTACACCTTTTTTAAAAAATTAAAAGGGACATTAACTAATCAAAGTAAGAATTTTCTAAAATTTTGCTGTGGTAGGTCAGCCTGGACTTACAAATCCAAGCCAGATGGGGTCTCCTCAGAGGGGCAGTGACCTGGGGGATGCCAACAGTGACAGCTACCACCAGCAGGTACTTCACACACGTCCCGTACTGCGCCAAGACCATCACATGTAATCTTTACTGTACCCTACGAGAGACACTTTTATTATTCCTACTTTTCAGATGGAGAAACTGAGTCCCAGAGGGGTTAAATGACCTCAGCAAGGCCATCTAGCTAATGAGAGGTGAATCTAGGATTCCAGAGCTCTTGCTCTTAAATGCTACGCTGAATGAGAGGATGCGCTGGAAGATTTTTGACCAATTGTGTGAACAGTAAGAAGCACAACTGTGGCCTTTGTGGCTTCCTTTTTAGAGATGGAATTTCGCTGTGTTGCCCAGGCTGGCAGCATATTGGCCCTCCCCACCTCAGCCTCCTGAGTAGCTGGGACTGGGTGCATGCCATTACACCCATCTAGCACAGCTGTGTTTTGTGCTCTTGGCTGAGAGGTTCTTAGGACCCACTAGCCCTATTGTCTCTTCGTTCCTCTCCCCAATCCGCCTTCGTCATGTGAGCCTTTGCAGCAGCCACCTGATCTCAGAGTTCTCTTCTTCCCTCTCTTCAGACATTTTGCAGACATCCTCCTCCCCTCCTCTAACACAGAGACAACCTGTCTGGTAAAGCCTCTCAAACCCAGCCAGAATCATCTGGAAGAGTTTAGCGGGCTGGCAGCAAGGCCAGTCTGAAATGGACTTAGCTAGATTCCGCCCGAGGCCCTCCCATTAGCTGCGCAATGCAGCCTCTGCCCAAAGTGCAAAGCAGAATGCTGCTGGAGCTGCTCATGAAACCACCTTACTGTGGCCACCAGATTGTCCCCATTTGCTTTGGAAAGCAATGCCATTGTGAAATATGGCATCTCCTGTAGTTCTGCATCGGAAGCAGAGAGGGCATACACGGACTCCCTCCCCATTCCAGCAGGCATGTTCTCAACACCCCTGCACCTGGGCCTCTGGCCAGGGGCCTCCATAGCCGCCTTCAGGAGTGAGTGCACTGCGGTCTGAGCACCTGGATGTAGCCCTCCACCCTTACCCTGTGCCTCCCTAAAGCCTCGTGTGTCAAATGAAGTCATCATTATCCCTACCTCGTGAGATGTCACAAGAATAAATAATTTAATATATGCAAGGTGCTTGGCACCGAGTGTTATAAAACTTGATGATGATGATAGTTTGCTATCATCATCATCATCATCACCATCATCACTACCACCATTCAGTACATAGTTTCCCACCTTTGCACTTTTAAAAAAGGAAAACCCATTGCCATATGTAATATGATTTCTTTACCACTTTGTTGAAACCAACTTTAAATAAACTCACTTTTAAAACGTAGCCTCGGCTGGGTGCGATGGCTCATACCTGTAATCCCAACACTTTGGGAGGCCGAGGCAGGTGGATCATTTGAGACCAGGAGTTCAAGACCAGCCTGATCAACATGGTGAAACCCCGTCTCTACTAAAAATACAAAAATTGGCTGGGCATGGTGGCACACAACTGTAATTCCAGCTACTCGGGAGGCTGAGGCAGGAGAATCGCTTGAACCCAGGAGGCAGAGACTGCAGTGAGCTGAGATCACGCCACTGCACTCCAGCCTGGGTGACAGAGCAAGACTGCCTAAAAAAAAAATAACAGTATCCTTGAAATCACAGGTTTCGTGGTTCTAATTATATTTTTAAAAGCTCATTACAGTAAATATGTGTCTATTAGCATAATAATTTACCCTTGCAGCACGAAATCACCTCGTACTGACCAGTGGTCCTCACACCTCTCTTTGAAGCCCACCTATGCAGGCCAAGTCCTCGCACATGTCTGAGTCTCCTCATCTGTAAAACAGGTGCAGCGTGATGATGACACTGCCCCAGGACCGTTGTCACGTGCTGTGGGATGCTGGTTTTGACCATGCTTGGTAAACTGCAATTTGTCAGTGGAGTTGATATCATAGGGTCTCCCCACGCCCACTTCATTCCAGATGTCCTGGGATGTTCGTTCTCTAGAAGCTCTAGCAGCTCACCCAGGTTTGCAAAAGGAACAGCTTATAATGAGCCCTCTCCACTCCCATCCCACTTCTGGGAATCTGTGGGGCTGTCACTCAGGGATGTTTTTTTCTCTCGTGTTTCCTCTCCTTGGGTTAGAACAGCCCCCAAAGCCTATTTTAATCCTTTGTCCCCATTTGGCATCCAGCCTTCCTCTTATCTTGACTTCACTGAGGGTGTCAGGTCCATTTGCTGTACTCAGGAGGTGGCACCCCCAAATCGAGGCCCTCTGGCATCACCTCCAGCCTGGCTGGGCAAACTGCCCCCGGCTTCAGAAAGCAGAAACTCCCAGGAGTTTTCTCTCCCCTGGCTGCGGGCTCTCCTATTGCTTGCTTGCCTGCCCACCTAAATCATAGATCCAGAAACATCTTTTCTCTGGACCTAACCAGCAGAGGCAGCTGCTCACATTCTGCTTCTTCTTTCCTCATGGTAATTCATTAGGCATTTCCTCTGATCCTAGCCTCTCTTCCTCTCTCCTGATGAGCCAACAGGGTAAAATCTCCAAGAGAGGCCTTGGGGCACCTTCTGATCCAAGGGGAGAAGACTGCAGCCTGGTGGGGCTATGATGTGGGCAGAGGAGAGGCTGGGAGTAAATTCCGGGGCTAATGCCTGGAATACTTTGCATTTCTCTGACCCTGCCCCGCCCAGCCAGCACCCAGAGCTTCACAAATGCCCATTTAGAAGGCCGCACCCTGCTAGTATGGTGAGGTCCTTGTGACTGGCTGGCCCCCATCAGACACAGAAAAAGTAGAGGGAGCTGGGGACAAACTTTAAAAAACTGATGACAACATGATTCCTTTTCTTTTATGAAAGAAAGGAAAAACACATGTAAAACAAACCCAGAACGTCCATCTGAAGAGTGGACGGGAGCAGTGGTTTTCAATTTATAACACAAGTGTACTCTTAGCCTATCCATGCACCATTGCATCCAGAAGGATGTACAAAACAGCCCTTCAAGATTGAGTTGTGTCGGGCTGGGCGCGGAGGCTCACGCCTGTAATCCCAGCACTTTGGGAGGCCGAGATGGGCGGATCACGAGGTCAGGAGTTTGAGACCAGCCTGGCCAACATGGTGAAACCCTGTTGCTACCCAAAATACAAAAATTAGCCAGGTGTGGTAGCACACACCTGTAATCCAGCTACTCGGGAGGCTGAGGCAGGAGAATCGCTTGAACCAGGAGGCAGAGCTTGCAGTGAGCTGAGATCACGCCACTGCACTCCAGCCTGGGTGACAGAGCGAGACTCTGTCTCGAAGAAAAGATTGCACTGTGTCTTCCCAGTCAGAGTATGGGAAGGTCAGGGGTCCAGTCGGGGAATCCCTGGGCACTCCTCAGCCCCAGGTCCTTCCAGCTTGGCCTGAGGGCCTCCCCCCACATTTGGCCTTCTCTCCTTTCACTCCCCACCCACACCCCAATTCCTGCCCCTTCGGACCTCCTCAACCTACTGCTCCCACTCCCAGGCCATGCCTTGGGTCCAGGTCAGGCTTTTGGTCACATTGGGTTCTGCTTTACCTGGGCAGGAACTGTGCTGGGGGCCGGTGGGAGAAGCAGGCCGGTGGATTTTAGAAGGCAGGCTAACCTTGCTCTCTGTCCAGCTGGCCTCCCCTTGGCGCAGTTCCTGTGTATGGATATTCTTACAGAATCGCTACTCTCCCTCTCCTTTGAGCTGGCCTAGCTTTGGCTTATCATAGGCCCCAGGAAAGGCCAGGGGACTGGGGTACCGGTTAGAGGGATATAAAAGTTCATTCTGCCTTGTACGTATGTTTAATTGATTAGAACACTTCATTTTCTCACAGCATGTATTTCATTGTACTACTGGCAACTGTCATCTCTTATAAATGAGGTTCATAAATAGTTGTTCCAGCTTATGGAATTCTGGAGAAAAAAGCTTCCAGAACAGTGATATGGTGCACTTCCCACAAAATGAGACAAGCTGAAGACACCTGTGAGTATCAACCCTCATTTATGACAGCCTCGTATGGTGGGGTAGTTAGAAGGTGATGCAGGGACATTCAACAGCAGAGATTATAATGACAGTAAGATAAGAGTTACTACAATCAAACTACTGCCTAGCTACTCGGCCCCGGGTTGGATGGTGAAGATTCAAAATTAAAAGCCATGGTCTCTGCTCGGGGGCTCCTGGTCTAGGCCACTTTGACTCAGAAGAATTTGAAATGACCCTTCAAATCCACCCTTCTCTCGCCACCGACCTCAACTGATGGGCATCAGCATGCCATCAGGTGGGTACACGTGTGACGAAGGATCAGGCACCTTACCTTTTATTCCTTCTTAATGTTGTGTGCCGAAATTTGGTGTGCACGGTATGTGTCTGCAAGCCTTTTACATTTTCATCCACATCAGTATTCATTTTTGCTTCTCAGCTACATTCTCAAAAATGAGAAGGAAGTGTGCTTATTCATTTAGATTGCCATGTGCGAGGGTCTGCCCAGCCGAACACCTGAATCATGTTTTGCTAATGATGTTGATGTCGACGTTGACCAAAGCTTGATAATTCCGTAACAATGTAATATGTCTTATTTTTAAACTAAAGCTTGGCTGGATCCCAACCAAAGCCACAGACAGAATTCAGAAGAGGTTTCTTTTAAGAAAATAGTAAAAGAAAAAGGTTTGCAAACCCACCAGATGAGAGAACAGTGCTCTTCCTGGCAGTCTCGTCTGCCTCTGGTAATGCTCAGGTCACCCAGTGAATGACACAATGTCCCTGTGGGCCTCATCCCATCTGCTTCTGTTTGTCATGGCCCAGGGCCCGTCAGTCCCTCAATGCTGCCCTTCCTGCCTCCCAGGCAGGTCTGGGCTTCTGTGAGTCACTCTCACAGCAGCCGTGACCCATGCAACATCTCAGAGTTTCTCAGCACAACAATTCATCATGTGCCTCAGTGTTCATCCAGCAATGTCAGGAAGAAACTGCTGGATATTGTTCTATGTCGAGTCAAAAGCTGTCCTGCAAAACAGCAGTGCCATTGAAGATGAAAGTTGATTCCCAAGCTAAAGCCAATCAAATACAATCTTGAGATATTTTGTGGGTCGAACTACATTTTTTGTTTGTTTGTTTTTGAGACAGGGTCTCACTCGGTCGCCCAGACTGGAGTGCAGTGGCGGGATCACCACTCACTGCAACCTCTGCCTCCTGGGCTCAAGCAATTCTCCCATCTCAGCCTTTCAGGTGGCTGGGACTACAGGCGCGCGCCACCGCACCTGGCTAATTTTTATATTTTTTGTAGAGATAGGATTTTGCCACATTGCCCAGGTTTGTCTCGAACTCCTGGGCTCAAGCAATCTGCCCTCCTCGGCCTCCTAAAGTTCTGGGATTATAGGCGTGAGCTACCGTCTGCCCTCCTCGGCCTCCTAAAGTTCTGGGATTATAGGCATGAGCTGCTGTGCCGTGCCCGGATGCTTTGGTATCAGAGACAGCACAGATACCCTGGAAGTCTCTCGTAGACGGCTTCTCTACTCTGGAGACCAGCGCTGATATTTAGCTGGTGTGCAAGAGTAAAAACAACCCCATCCCTCCTGCTTCCCTGTACCCTCTCATCTATGGAAGCTCTAAGGGAAGGGACTGGTTTGGCTTCCACTTTGATAGAATGGGCAGCAGTCACATGGCCCATTCAGCAATAGAAGAGCTCTAGATCCATTTTTTTATTCCAAGACCTCTCACAGCTTCACAACTTCCTCTGAAGTTTGCCTGGTCATGTCCCTGTCTCTGGCCTGAGATACTCCAGCTAAACAATGCAATGAGAAATATTTGGCAGCCTTTGTATCTCTGTGTACCTGAAAGGTGTGCCCTCCTTGGCCAGGAAACTAGAAATACCAGCCTGTGGGAGCTGGGATGGGCTAGGACCACTTTCTCTGAAGATGTTGCAAATGTAAGGCAAGGACATTGAAAACCAAATTCTAGAGGATACCAAGCAGAGACAAGCGTGAAAAAGAAAAGAAAAGAAAGGTGACCAAGACTGATGCATAACAGAGAATCGGGAGAATGACGCTGGTTCCCAAGAGGGGTTATTATGCCACTGGTTCTCATCGGGGGCTAAAGGCCCTCTGTGGGATTGTGAAGATTTGCAAATGTGTCCAATAACCTGAGTATTTTCTTTGTCCTTAATTGTGTTTCAATTTGAGAAACAGAGAGGAAGGAGGATGGCTAGTATGGGGCATGTGTGAGACAGAGAAAGATGTGGATGTGAAAGGAAGGAATTCTCACCGGGCACGGTGGCTCACGCCTGTAATCCCAGCACTTTGGGAGGCTGAGGCGGGCAGATCACAAGGTCAAGAGATTGAGACCATCTTGGCCAACATGGTGAAACCTCATCTCTACTAAAAATACAAAAATTAGCTGGGTGTGGTAGCATGTGCCTGTAGTACCAGCTACTCAGGAGGCTGAGGCAGGAGAATTGCTTGAGCCTGGGAGGCGGAGGTTGCAGTGAGCCGAGATCGTGCCACCGCACTCCAGCCTGGTGACAGAGCAAGACTCCATCTCAAAAAAAAAAAAAAAAAAAAAAGGAAGGAATTGCCCAACTAACATCTGAGATTTTCCACCAGCCAGAAAAACATTAGTTAAGTACTACCCCAGGCCACCTAATTCCAGGTCGTTTGAAATCCTGTGGAACAGTTTTAACCTGACAGCCTGTTATTCACCCAGACATGTATTTCATATTCCTCAATTTCTAGCCAAGGAAGGGAAGGATGTGGAGTCGGTGGGGCTGTAGAGAGCCTGGACCAACAATCAGAGGAGCTTGAGTTTCGTGCTGGCTCTAGTACCAACAGTATAATCTGTCTTTCACCTGGTCTCTCTTAGAGCCCCTGGACATGCTGAAAATAATCTTTACAGCTTTCGAGTGCTTTGCTGGTGGCAGTAGCTGAGGGAATGGAAATTTGGAGAGCAAGAACCAAACCACAGCAGTCTGTTGGCCATAGCAAGCCACACTGTGGACCGCTCTCAATGCCATTCAAGTCATCATTTATCACTAACTCTTCTTTGCGGGTCACCTGCTGACTGTGGCCTGCCACTTCAGCAGAACTGGTGGGAACAGGTGCTCTAATGTGCTGACAGTATCACAGAGTAACACTTGAATTGAGAAAACTGGGGTTTGGCGGGGGGAAAATACTATAGTTACAGGTTCGTATTTCTGCTTCTCCAATTAGATTACAAGGCTCTCTAGGGCAAGGACTATGCTTTCGAAGCCCGAAGTCCTAGCAGAGGGCTTGGCCCATGGAAATGCTCAATAAATGTTTGTGAATGAGAGAAAAGGAGGGAAAGAGGGAGTGGGTTCTTTCCAAGGTCACACTGCAGACGTCCCCCGACAGTGGAGGCATGCTGGCCACTGTCCCCCTCAGCACCCAGCTCTAGTGGATGTTCTTTTGCGGGTCAGGCTGATTATGTCTATTTCCCAGAAAGTGTCACTGATACCATCAGACCCCAAGGCATCTGCTGTTCCAGAGCAGGCTCCCCTGGTCTGTAATGTGAACGATATCAGAGAAGCCAAGATTGTCTTTGTCTCAACTCTCCTGCCGGGGGTGCTAAGCCTGGGATATCCACTCAGGCTGGGAACAGGTGGTCTAATGTGCTGAGAGCATTACAGAGCAGATTCAAGATCCTTTTGAATTGAGTGGATCTCAGAGTATCAGGGCTGGGATGCTGGCCTTCTACAGATAAGAAAACTGGAGCTCAGCATCTGTGGCTGGCAGGACCCAGGGGTGGGGAATGGCCCCACAGGGAGCGGAGCCCGGGAGAGTCAATGGTGAGGCCCCCAGGGTACAGGCAGGATCGACCTAACAGGCCACCCTAGCAAGGCATTCATGCAATGGGGTGGCAGGTTTCTGGAAAAGACCTGGGAAGCTGAGGGCCAGAGAGCAGAGGGGACCCACTCAATCTCGTCCAGTGTCAGGGACAGAGACAGATCAGAGGCAGGATCTGGTCTCTTCACAGGAGGGAATGGCTGGACTGGAAGAGAGAGGAGGAGAGGGAACCTATGTAAATCCCTGAGGCAATGGAGCCTACCCAAAGCATGCTGGGAGTAGGGACAGAGGGTATTGGGGAGCTATTAAGGGAGCCGAGCCCGTCTGGATCATTCTGCGTTGTCCTAGACCCCGCTCCACTTTCTACCAGCTCTGGGAATTCACCTGCTCTCTGCTCTTTGCACAGTCCCCACTTTGGAAATGGGGAGGGGCTCCGAGTTGGGTATGACCCTCTTCTAAACAACCTTCAGCTTCAGGGCCCTGTCAGTGATGTGGCCTTCTGCAACATCCAGTCACTCACTGGGTATCCCTGTGTCCTCAATTAGTGCCGGACCCAAGCTGGGTCCCTGCCGCAGCAGTCTCATGATCTTGTTGGGGAAGTAGGGGGACATTTGAGGCACCCAGCACAAGGCACTCTAAGGCAGGCATGGCTCCTGGTATAACCAGTGGGTTGTTAGAAGAAGCAGAGAAGAGCCTCATGGGCACGTTGGCTTTTGGAGGAGATGAGGCTGGAACTGGAGTTTGAGCATTACGTGCTGGGATGGGAGTTTCGAGTAAAGTCACTGCAGTAAGAATACACACGTTTTCTCGCAAGGGTAGAGGGAAGGAAAGTTGTTAGGGCAGCCTCAGAGTCATCAGGTAAAAGCCTATGGTTTTTTTTTGTTTGTTTGTTTGATTTGCTTTTTCTTTGAGATGGAGTTTTACTCTTGTCTCCCAGGCTAGAGTGCAATGCAAGATCTCAGCTCACTGCAACCTCCACCTCCTGGGTTCAGGTGATTCGCTTGCCTCAGCCTCCTGAGTAGCTGGGATTACAGGTGCCCACCACCATGCCTGGCTAATTTTTATATTTTTAGTAGAGACGGGGTTTCAACATGTTGGCCAGGCTGGTCTCAAATTCCTGACCTCAGGTGATCCACCCGCCTCGGCCTCCCAAAGTGCTGGGAATACAGGCATGAGCCACCATGCCCAGCCAGGCCTGTGTTTTTTAAGCATTTTTTAATCAGCACAGTAATCCTTTGCCAAAGGAAACTCTACTCAGAATGTGTCAACCTGCTAAAAGCAGAACTGCTGTATCCTTTCAGCTTCCTTCCTACCCCAGTGTTACACCTCAGCCCCACCGCCACCTCAGAAAATGAGTGAAGCTTTATAGCAGGACTAGTTCAACCTCATTATTGGACCAGAAGGGAAACTGAGGCATAAAGAGCAGAAGAGACAAGCTCAAGCTCAGGGTTTTTTCCACCAGTCCTTGCTGCCTCCTGAATGAGGCCAGACTGGAGCCACTTTCAGCCAGGCTAAGGGATGTAGCTTCCATAAGATGGAGAACGTTGGATTGTGTTTGGACAAAGGCATTTTTTCTGTCATTCCGGTTTGACAGCCCAGCTAGTGCTGCAATCTCTTGATGTTTCAATTTTTTTTTTTTTTTTTTTTTTTTTGAGACAGAGTCTTGCTCTGTCATCCAGGCTGGAGTGCAATGGCTCAATCTCGGCTCATTTCAACCCCCACCTCCCAGGTTCAAGAGATTCTCCTGCCTCAACCTCCTGAGTAGCTGGGATTACAGGCATGCACCACCACGCCTGACTAATTTTTGTATTTTTAGTAGAGACGGGGTTTCACCATGTTGGCCAGGCTGCTCTCAAACTCCTGACCTTAGGTGATCCACCTGCCTTGGCCTCCCAAAGTGCTGGGATTACAGGCACAAGCCACTGCACCTGGCCTGTTTCAATTCTTTCACTGAGAAGACTAGCATATTGAAATCACCTGAGAAATAGCTCTAGCAATGCAAGGTTAGAAAAACTGGTAGGGATGGTGGTTTGGGCTCAAGAGGGAGATGTCATTCGGTTAAGTTTTGGTAAATAGATGAACTGACAGTGAATAAGTTCGATGGAAGAATCAGTGCTTCCTTAAACTGCAGCATAAATTATGCCCGTTCATTCCTTGGCCAAATGATGTGAGGAACTGATCAACATCTGCGGAAGCTACGAGAGACCTTCTGCCTCTGTCTCTCCTGGGGTTTATCTTGGCCAGGGCTCTTTCTAGTAGGTTTCTGCCAGTTTTCATGACAAAGCTTCATTTCAGTGACCTTGAGAAGGCTAGACGGGACTTGGGGTGAGGTGAAACATCTAAGAAAGGCAGCAGATGCATTAATTGTTTCTTGCTTATTCTTTCAAACACGCAAGCCGAGAAATGCTGTTGGAGAAAATCAGTCACTTCCCGAGGTCTCAAACTGCCCCGCCACAGTCGACCAGGAGAGCTGCTCTCCCAAGCCTTGATTCCCCTAGCACCACCCTCTACGGTTTGTAAAGAACTTTCAGATGCATTCTCTCATATGAGTCTCACAGAAATGCTGTGAGGCAGACCAGGTAGGCATTGTTCCCATTTGAGGGATGGGTCAGAGAGACAAGGAGGCTTGCCCAAGATGGTGTTGCTAGTTAGCATGTATTCAAATATTCTTTGGTCTATACTTCTTTATGAATGATGTTTGTTATCACAGCACGGAGCCAGGGCTTCGGACTTGCTCCCTAGCACTCTTTTGGCCCCATCAGGCTCTTTCACCTAAGGATGTAAATAAAAATGGATTTTCCACTGGAAACAGGTCAAATGACTTAATACAGCCACAGACAATTCGGAGCAAGCTGGTAAATCCTAAATGAGTCATGCTTCATTTGAATAACAAACCAGACAAACGCTCAGGCCTACAGCAGAAAGAAATAGGATTATACAGTTAGAGGGAATTTGTTTATTGAGACCAATGGCTTTTAGACATTTCTAAGGCATGAAAACCATTCTTTTTTTTCTTTTCTTTCTTTCTTTTTTTTTTTTAAGTCTTGCTCTTGTTGCCCAGGCTGTAGTGCAATGGCACGATCTCGGCTCACTGCAACCTCCGCCTCCCAGGTTCAAGCGATTCTCCTGCCTCAGCCTCCCGAGTAGCTGGGATTACAGGTGCATATCACCATGCCTCGATAATTTTTTGTATCTTTAGTAGAGATGGGGGTTTCACCATGATGGCCAGGCTGGTCTCGAACTCCTGATCTCAGGTGATCCACCAACCTTGGCCTCCCAGAGTGCTGGGATTATAGGCGTGAGCCACCGCACCTGGCCAGCCATTAAGATGAAGTCTTACCAGGCAGTTGAATGGGAAAACCTATTAAAGCAGCTTTTCTGAAGAACATGAGGCCCCACTTAGCATCTTTGGGAAACGCTCTCATTTACAGATGAGAAAACAGGCCCAGAGGCCCAGGGCGGGGGGACCTGAGCTGGGGCTGGAACCCCAAACCAGTGTTACTCCCATTAAAGGGTCCTCATGAAGAATCAGCTGATGGTCCCAACTCACTTTTTGCCCATGTTTTCCTCTGTTCCCCATATTTCTAAATATATCTTATCCTTTCTATCTCCTTTGCTCAAGCTATTTCCTCTTCTCAGAATGCATTTTCACCTGTGAAATTTGCATTTTCCCCTCCAGACCCAGATCAAAGAGATCTCCCTCCCCCACTCCGCACCTTCCTTTGCCATGAAGCTCTCCCTAAGGGTCATAGCTAGACAGACTTACAGTCCCATATCTGAGTTTCATTAGAACTTGTGGCGACACTCTTAGGACGTTCTGCTTTGTCTTAAAGTCATTTGAGACTTAATCTCACCCCTGAGATTTCATCCTTCTTGGGTTCTGTGACAGGGTCCTCATCACAGAGTCTTTTTTTGTAGTGTGTGTGTGTGTGTTTGTGTGTGTGTGTGTGTGTTTAATGGAATCTATGTATAGAATCACTTTCCTTTCTGAATACCCAAGTTCTGGAGTCAGCCTAGCTTGGGTCCCCATCCCAGCCCTGCCATTTCCTAGGAAAGTCACATCATTTCTCAGCATTTTTGTATCTTCAGCCATTACACATGCCCACTCCTCTGTGAAGAGCCAAAGACAGGGTATCGTTAGAGGCATTTATAAGCTACAGGCTGCCTTGATGGCTAGTGTTTTGAGATCACTAGGAAAAATTTTAAATTCAGTTCTAAGAGCCTAAAAAATCGTGCAATGCCAAATAACTGGTTACTTTGGATGTCCCTTTCCAGTGAGTTGCTTAGGCTTTATACAGTCTCAGTCTTCCTTCTACCTGCATGTTGAGCCCCAAGTTCTTGTATTTGCTGCTCTGGAAGTGAGCTCACTGTATTTTTATTGACTGAAACTGTTCCTTCATTTCTAAAATGGTTTTTGAGGTCTACTATGCTACATTATTATGGGTTGAGTTGTATCCCCGCCAAAAGCCCTAACTCTTGGTACCTGTGAATTTGTCTTATTTGGAA